>NC_000010.11:55597640-55749155 GCF_000001405.40 Homo sapiens | reverse complement strand
ACCCACCAAACATTCACAAAAACTGTTTTCTTTTTTTTTTCTTTTCAAGCATTTTGTTGCTTATTATTTTCCAGTTTCTCAGTTGATATTCACTTCATTCACTCTTGCACTGCTACAATAAGGATTGCTCAACGAGTTTGTGATAATAATTTTCATCTTGGAACGTGCTAACTGATTTTTAACAGCCCAACTACTCTAAATCACTAGACATCAGCATTGCTGTCATAAAATTAGTTTTACAAACACTTTCAAATAAGATAAAGGCAGAAACTAAGACAGCGGCAGAAGATGGTTAAGTATAAGGGTTGTTAATTCAGTAGAATTGACACATTTCATTACCAAATGAGAAGAAAAAGGCGATATTTTAAGTAACTCTACCATGTGTCATGCATACATTAATCTAAGAAGGTAATATAGAAAGGAAAATTAAAGAAGAAAAAAAATTAAATATTAGGTATTGGAAGTACCTGTTAAAAGTTCAGAAGTTCTCAGTAGACAGATGTATTTGTAGAAGTTTTAAAGAAATAAGTAGTAACAAAAGTGATGTGTGATAACCAAAGAGGACCAATTTCAGAACACTGGTAAAAATAATGTTTAATGAGCGAATCAAGCAACCGAAATGTATATGTTCTGCAAAGACTTGTACAATAATGTTCATAACAGTTTTCATTATGATAGAGTAATATTTGGGAAACAACTCAAATATTCATCAAAAGTAGAATGGATAAATAATTTGTGTTTACTCATACAAAAGAGGTATGAAAATTAATGTACTATAATGATATATAACATTGAAGCAATCTTCCAAACATTATCATGCTGAGCAAAAGAAGCCATACATACAAGAACGCATACTGTATGATACATTTATATTAAGCTCAAAAATCAGACAAAACTAATTCATAGTGTTAGAAGTCAAGGTAACGACAAACCTAGATGGTCACTAACTGGAAGAGGTCAAAACGATGATATCTGAGGTGTGGGGCTGCCCTGTTTGTTGATCAATGTGGTGATTATATGAGGTTGTTCTATTTGGGAAACTCATTGACCTACACTCTTATAATTTAGGACCATTTCTGTGCCTATATTTTGCTCCAATAATACAAAGTAGCTAAAAATATAGAAGTAGAATCAGGAGAGGCTATTCCATGAATCCAGATGGAAAAACAGATAGGGCACGGTGGCTCATGTCTGTAATCCCAGCCCTTTGGGAGGCTGAGGCAGGCAGACCACTTGAGCCCTCTAATTAAGTCCAGCCTGGGCAACATGGCAAAATCTTATCTTTACAAAAACGTAAAAATTAGCTGGGCACAGTGGCACAAGCCTGTGGTCCCAGCTACTCAGGAGGCTGAGGTGGGAGAATCATTTGAGCCTGGGAGGCGGAGGTTGCAGTGAGTGGAGACAGTGCCACTGCCCTCCAGCCTGGGGGACAGAATGAGGCCCTGTCTCAAAACAACAAACAACAGCAACAATAACAAATGGGAAAGCATTCTGGAAAGAAGGATGTGACCAGTAGTGCCAGACTCTGAAATCCATGAAGATGAGTATATGTCTAGGTGAACTCCTCAGGTGCCAGGAAAAGCTATTCACGGTGAATTGCTTCACAGAGTGGATATGCTATAAAAAAGGCCATAAGTCTCTTCGGGGAAGGCATGGGGAAAGATTTACTGTGAGTGGTGCGTCAATAGTGCAGAGTCCTCCAGGCACCCTATTCAATCAAAGGGCTCTGAGTAAGAAAATTAACATAGAAACTGGGTGAAAGGCTATATCTCCACAGTGGTGACTGGAGTCAAGCTTTTGGCTCCAGACCTGAAGAATTTCTTGTTATATGAATTAAGCAATATTCTAAAAGGGTCTGTATTTTGTTCTAAGGATGTCAAAATCATTTAGCCACTGCCAGAGTTTTCTTGGCCCAAAGCACTCTGATGACCTGTACAACTCTACCAGCCTTGATTGTAGATATACCCACATTTTGTTTGGTGGTTAAGGTCTATAATGTTGTATCTGATTTTCTGGAATCACATCATTCCTACTGAAATCTGTGAGCACTTCTCAATTGTGGCCTCCTTTATGGTTCATATCTGGCCCACAGAAGTGAGCAAACAGAGTACTTTCAGTGATGGAAAATCTCCCCTCACCCATATGTTTCTTAATGCCTTAGTGAAGGGAGTCTCTTCTGGATCTTCTCATGGAATGTCACTGGGGAGCAAGTGTGCAGAAAACACATGAGAATCCATTCCATTGTTAGACAGTTCAAACTGTGGGAATGTTTATGATTAATTGGCTCTGAGACAAGGGCATTAATAAATAATGTAATACTGTTGGTTGATTGAACAAATTCAGTAAAGTTAGCACAAAACAATAGCTACAAAAATTACATGTATTTTCATCTGACATGGCTTGGTAATATTAGAGAAAGTATAGGTTTTAGAAATGTTACACTGAATGTGTATACAGGTTGAAGTAGCCATTTTCTCACTAGTTATCAGATAGGTAAGTAGTAGGACAGAAAAGCTCTTTCCTCTCTAAGCTATTCATATTTTCAAGCATTTATTCTGAGTGTGTTAATGATTTGTAAAACACACATGGCGTGACTTTGATTTCTCCACTATGAATGGTGTTTCAGCAACTAGGCATCATGTAGTTTCCTTTACAAGTCTCTACATTTTGTTATAGTCACACATTGTCATTACTTCAAAATGTTCACTTGTATAATTCTTGCCTCTGAACTGAAACATTTTACTCTTATTGTCAATAAGCTCTGCTTTTGTGGTGAAAAGATTATAATGCTGGCACATGAGTTTTACAATAATTTTGTATAACTAACTGGTTGAGATTGGACAGCATTGCTGGAGACCAACGGAAGCAGAGCTATTTATGGAGGTAGACAGAAAAATAGAAGCATCCACTGTTGGATTTCCAGGACAGATCCCAGCAATAGGCAGAAGGTAAGCACTGAATAAATATTTGTTTAATAACTGAATGGTTGGATAAATGTCAAGTGCCTGGTAGAGACAAGAACAATTAGGACTATGAATAGGAGAGTTTTAAATGAAGCAATGTGTTATGACTTAAAATAATATTAAATGAGGAATTGAAAACTGGGAGTCAAAATTACTTTCAAGAAGCTTGGTTGTAAAGAGAGCAAATCAAAGTTACTACAAGTAAAATCATGAGTTTTAAGACTCACTTGTACATAAGTATAACATAGTGTTACACTTAAGGCTACCCTCTTAGCAAATTTCAAGTAAATGATACAGTATTATTAACTATAGTTCTGACTTCTTTAAAACTTAAAATCTTTCTCTTATGGCAGATTTTTGATATGACTAGATTTTCTTGTAAAAAATTAAAAAAAAATCTCCCAACCTTCAAACACAGAGAACTAAAGTTCTAAAGTAGTATTGTCTAGAATCATGCTTATGACAAAGATGTGTTAATGTGTTGTATAGAAGTGTCAGAATCTATTTTACTTATAGTCATATTTCTTGTAAAATTTATCTTGGGCTGTACTTCATACCATAAGCTTCGATTAATACATGCAAGACTGATTCCTTCACTCTGAGACCAACAATTGATCAAATGGAATTTAGGTTTATAATAGGATAAACAGTATTATGAAAAGATAGAACCAATTATGGCAGCTAAGTCATCGAATATTATAATGAGCATATACTGTCTGTTTCTATCAAAGAGAGAATGATGAGATAATTTTATGCTCCTATGTATTATTTCGTCCTCTTCTATCTTCTGCAATTCATAAAGTTATGTGATAGCAGTTTGCAACTTATAGTCTAATAAATATTGTATAATTTAATTGAAATAATTGGGTCATCACATTTTAAACTCCCATTACATTGACATTTTGTACTCAGGAAATAATTTGAGATTATTTCAGTTTTCCAAAAGATCATGAGACGTAGTTTGAATTCATTATAACGGTGTAAAAACAGTGTCTTTAAAATACTTTTTTAAATAGATAATAAATACACTAAAGATGAAAACTTTCAGCATTTTTCTCTTTATTTTCCAGTTCTACCATGACCTTAATACATTGACCTTAAGCCAAGGAAATAATTGTTATCTGTGAACTCTCCATTAAATATATCAAATGAGAAAACAGGAGTCATCTTCCTGTATTCAAATAGCAAAATGAGTGTTTAAAAATCTTAATTTAGAGAAAGATTTGTCATTTGTTATCTGCATGTCTGTGCTCTAGCAGTATCATGTTTTCTATCTACCACATTTTTTTTTTCCCTTAGAAATTAGTGGACAGAATTCTGAGAAGAGGTTTTGTTTTGTTTTCTCCACAAGTGATTCATGAGGGTCCGCACAATTATGTAGAAGCAGAATTGTGTTACTGTTTTGGTTCTTTTTCCTGAAGTGCAGTCCCAAATTCTTCTCTTCAGTGACTGACCATCAGTTTTACAGAATGAACAATTTCACCCTCCTCATTAGTTATATGCACCAGATTCACTTCTTGTGGGGTCATATTTGGGTCATTGCATTTGGTTAATAGGGAGATTCTGTATCGTAATATACTCATTTTGATATTGTATTTTTCTCACATAAAACTGCAAAGGAAACTCTTTTCAGAGTGAAGGCAAACCTGCAATCTATGGTTATAGTGGAGTAGATCCTGCTAACACCTTGAAGTGCCTTTTTAATGGCTCTTGCATATTGAAATGAGTGCCTAGAGGTCACTATATTACATGTCTTTCATATTGAAAAATGAAATATTTCAGTGTACTGAACTCAAACATATAATCTTGTGATTCAAGTGAGTGTCCCCTTTCGCTCTGTATCTTTCCATTTCTGCTATTTTTTTTGCTTCCTGATATTGCTATTAATTTTATGTCACTTAAACTTTATCATAGCACATGCCTTTCAAATATCTCTTCCTGAATTGTTTCCAGAACCCTTCATGTTTATCCTTAGTTTTCTCATTTTTAATTGCTAGTATCATTTTTACCAAGATTCTTCTTTTTAACACTCTGTATAGTCTGGTTGCCATTCTAGAAGGTGTTATTGCCCAGGTTGTACCTTGATAAGTTTTTAGCAAGTACCTAATTATGTTACCAGTTCAGCCTTATGAGTATTCTACCTGACATTCTTTATTTTAACAATTCTCAGCTCTTTTGGTGACTTCATCTTCTTCTTGTAATAATTTTTTATTCCAGTTTGAATGCACCCTGAGGGGGAATAATGCCATATTTTCTTAAGCGATTTATTTGTATTTACTCAAACCAAAAGTAAGCCCTTATTATAAGTGTTCAAAGTGAACATAATTCAGTTGGCCAGATTTGCAACATTTTAATTAGAAAATATTATCCTGGACAGCCTAAAGCTTCACTACATCAATTTCTATGTTTCATCCTTTGAAGTGATTTTCATCCTCTGTTATTTATGTAATTATGGCCTATATAGAGCTAGAATTGTGTAAGAAGTGTAACATTCTAAACTAGCCTTGCAGAGAAACCAGATATCTTGGAAAGAATGTGTAAGAGGAAATAGAAAACAAAAATTCTCTCACCAGTTGATGATACTAAAATTTCTGTTATATGTTTTATGAGGTTAGGGTAACATTTGTAACATTATTGAACAAAGAAAGTAGAAACATAATACCATAGGCCAATTTTATCTTGAACTAAAAGTGAGGCAGAGGAAAATGTTAATGCTACTAAATGAATCAGTGGTTAGCCCAAACCCAGGGTATATTAATAAAATTATGACATAATTATCAGTTTATTTCAGGACTGTGAAGATGGCTATGCATTATAAAATCTATTTTTTCAATGCACCAAAGTAGTTAACTAAAGTAGAAAAATATATGGCTAATGTAATAGATAAGCAAAAGTTCAATACTTCGTTTTAATAAAAGCTCATTGAAAACTAAGAATTAAAGTAACATCCTATCCTGTAAACAGTAATAAAATTTATAATAAAAGTTATCTTTAAAGGCAGGGAATGAGATAAAGATTCTCACTATCAATATGAATAATATGATTACAGGCAACAAGTTGGTAAGAGCAATAATTTGGAAACTTGGAGATGCAAAATATCCACTTTGGGCAAGAAAATAGCCATTATTATCCTTAAATATTTCTTGTGATTGGTTTCTTGAATATAACAGTAATCAAAATGGGGAAATCCCCATTCAAGAATAAAAGTTGAAATTAGGTAGGAACTCAACTGAAATTTAAGTCATCCCCATCAACAATGGACACAAGAAATTCTGTATTAACTAGCTCATAGAAGTTTAGTATATATACAGTTTTTTTCATTTATTTCATCAAATTTTCCATATTGATCTTATAAAGAAAAGACAGTTGGGACTGTTAGCATTGTTTGAAACCATGAAAACTATACCTCTTGGACTAAAAGTGAGGCAGGCATGGGACAATGTCAAAAACATAGAATTAAATAGCTACTCTGTAGTCTGAAGGCCTTGGTCAGAAAATGGGGAAGTGAAGTGCTATGGTTGCTCCCCTCCAAAACTCACTTTGAAACTTAATCCCTAATGTGGCAGTATTGAGACATGAGGCCTTTAAGAGGGCTCCGCCCTCATGAAAGGATTAGCCCATTCATAGTTTCGTGTATTTAAATAATTAATTAATTGGTTATCATGGGAATGAAACTGGTGTTTTTACCAGAAGAGGGAGATAGACTTGAGCACAGCATGTTATCATATGCGCCATTCTCACCACGTGATGCCCTGTGCTGGCTCAGAAGTCTGTACAGAGTTCTCATCAGCAAGAAGGCACTCACAAGATGCAGCGCTTAACCTTGGAATGCTCAGCCCCCATAACTGTTAGAAATAAATGTATTTTCAATATACGTTACCCAATCCAAAATAGTCTGTCAGAAAACAGACTAAGACAAGTAGGATTGTGAGGACAATGGAGAGTTGGCCTGACTCTGAGATCTGCACTAGATGTCAGCACACAAATAAGGTATAAGTCACACTTCTACAAATGTATTGCAAATTATCAGTGATTATTTTTATCACATGAATATATTGTCACACATTTATTTGACAGAGTTTGGAAATTAAATAATAATGTGTATCATTGATGGAGAAGGAAACAAGGTTAGGAACACATGCCAATGTCCAAGGTCAGAGAAGGATGCAAACTTGTTGGGTAATATTCAGATGAAATGGACACTCATCAATACATGAGTAGAACAGATAACACTGTGAGGAAAGAAGATGACTAAAAACAAGCATGTTCTACTAAATAATATTTGTTTAGGCTGGTGCTATTAAATATTCATCAGGAAAAATGTGTCTCCAAGAAGTATGTAAATACTTTTGAGATTCTCCTAGTTCCCATAGCAATAATAAAAGTGAGAAGATGCTAGCCAGAGAGCTCTCAAATCTCCTTTTTCATCCTCACTTGCTTTTGCTGACCTTGCTTCTTACTATACTGTGAAAAGAAGAAAGTGTCTACAGACTCTAATTACCATATGTACCCTCCTTCTAGAGCCTCTGTTTTTCACCACCTCCTATGCACGAACTATATATTTCCCTGTCTCTACAGACAATTCCTTCATTAGTGCCTTAGATCTTATTCTCTCTCGTCTACTACGGAGTGTTGTGGTCTTAATTTTTCCTTATTTCTCCTTCATGACCAATTTTTCCACCCTACTCCCTTGAAGCAACTTCCATGTCAACTACAGACTAACCTATTTCTCTGCCTCTTCTTCCAACAAAATTTCTTGATAGAATGGTCCATTGTCACTATCTATGGTTATTTCTTTTTTTTAACTTTTATTTTAAGTTCAGGGACACGTGCAGTTTGTTATATAGGTAAACTTGTGTCATGGGGATTTCTTGTACAGATTTGGTGTCCGTAACAAATGTCATTTTGAAGTCATGAAAATGGAAGTTCAGTTACTGTGGGTTTAAAAGAAAATGAAAATAATAATGTGTACAGTTTTTTTTTAACTCAACAGTAACTAAACTTTCATTTTCATGACTTCAAACCGGCATTTGTCAAGGTCAACACATACTTAATGTTGCTAAATCCATTAATCGTTTTTCAATACTCATAAGCCTTAAACAGATCAGAAACATTTGATATACTTCCTCCCCCTTGATACACTTTCTCTACTGCTTACAGCTAAGCACTGAAGGACATTTACCTTGGGGGCATTATAATCTTAATACAGTTTTTGGAAACATATTCCAGTAGATGGCAGTACTGTGCCATGAGGAAAGGACACATTTTTGATTTGCACAAAATTGCCATTTGTGCTTCCTAGAGCTGGGTATCACATGGCTTTTGATTTTTCTTCGGTTTTATTTGCAACACCATCTCAATCTCCTTTGTTAGTTTCTCTGCTTCTCCCCAAGCTCTTTACATTGGAGTATTCCAGGTGTCAGGCCTTAGACATCTCTTGTGTATTCATGCTACTGCTTTTGATGACCTCACTCGTTACCATGCTCTAAACACTCTTGAAAAGCCAGTAACTCACATATTTATATCTCCATCTCAGAACACTTTCCTGACTTTCCAACTCCTATTTGTATTCCACTTGAATATTCAATATACATGTCGAAATTTTAAAAAGTCCCAGAACCTGAATTCCTAGCTTCTTCCTACTTATTTACACCTAAACCTGATCCACCTATCCCCATGATGGCAACTGTAACTTTCCATTAGCTCAGCAGAAACTTTGAAGTTATTTTTAACTCATATTTCTTCCCTCACACACACATTTAATTTATTAGGAATAACATTGGCTCTACCTTCCAATCATAACTCCAGTCCCCCAACTTATAACCAAGTCCACAGGTGCTACTCTGGTCCACGCTGTATCTCTCACTTGCTTCACCAATCTTCTGACTCATCTGCCAGTTTCTCTGCCTTCTGTCTTGTCACCTTTACTCTATTTTCAACACAAGAGTCAGAATAAACATTTTGTAATGGAGTGAGTTTCATTTCTTTGCTCAAAGTGATCCAGTGTTTCTATACCTCACAAAGAAAAAATTCAAATTACTTACCAGGTTCTACTAAGTCCTGTTTTCACCGATCTTTATACCATTCCTAGTCCTCTGGTTACCCTCCCCATTGCCGATTCCAGCTTGCTGTATCACAAACATGCTAGGCATGCCGTCTCTTCAAGGTCATTCAGTGCTGGTTGTTCCTGCCTGGAAAGTTCTTTCCCACCTATCTACATGCTGTGCTCCCATTTTAGGAACTGTCAGAACTGGAAATTGTTCTTCACTTGTTTTTCAGCATCTCTTGTAACAGTGACCAAAGCACGGAATGTAAGCTTTTCAGTTGGATATACCCAAACCAAATTTCAAACTTCAACTACAAAGCTAGTTACGTCATGTACAAGGTTACCTTTTTTTTTTTCCAGTAGTTTCCTACCAGTTATAATTCTGTGAAATGATTTGGAGCAATTTTTCCCTCACTGCTTAGCACTCCCAAGTATCTGTTGAGAAATCCAGTATTCTATAATATTTTTTAAAACTCAGCCTGACTCAACTTGTGTGTCTTGTAACTAAGAATCCCAAAAGATAAAATATCCATAGTAAATAAACAACTCCTACAAATCAATAAATGTCAAAAAGCCTCAAAGGAAGGAAAATTTATTAATATTTAACATTCATCTATTCTTTGATCCAGCAATTCTTTTTCCGGGAAAGGAATAGCGGAAAGTTCTAGTTCATAAAAACATAACACCAGAATAGTTATTTTGCCAATGCTCATTGTGACTAAAATATTAGGAAGAGCCAAAATATCCACAAATTGGGAAATGCTCAATTTAATCCTTTAAGGTAACAACACTATGAAATACCATGTAGTTACTAAAAAGGAATATTAAATTTATACCTCTTTTTTCAGAAGGTATCTGTAACCCTAAAGTAAAATCAAATTGCACAGAAATATTAATAATATGAGAGCATTTAAAATTATTTTAAAATCATTTTTTAAAATTCATCTGTGAATGAGTGGCTTATGTTTTATGACATTTTATAATTTTTAAAATATGGATTAATAATGCACATTAATAAAGCATAAGTATCATTTGCTGAGTTCAAGGAATTTATAAAAAATTTGCTAAGACATGACTTTAAATTATCAATGGACAAAACAAATATTCTTTATTCCTGAAAATTCAGTAGCCAACAAAATTGTAATTCATAGCATCAGCAAGAGAATTTGCCATTTGCCTCTGCCAGACTGTAAAATTTTTCTTTCACATTTCTGATATCCTTTGCAAAGATGTAGGCAGATGTGTTAGGTCTGTGAATTCAAACAAGATTTTAGGAACAGCCAACCCTTCTGCAGGAGTTTTCTTTCTAGAGTCTCCAGTGATTTGAGGCAGTTCCCAAGGCATTCATATTGCTCACAAACTGTGTGTGGCTGTTGGGGTAGTTATTAGTCAGTGTCTTTCGTCTCTTTTATTCTCCCCTCTGCTTCATCTAATCCTTGTCACATCCCTCTATGTGGCAAGCTGCTTGAGAGAGTCTCATAGAGGCCACTGTTGACAGTGCTTCCAGTTAGGCTATCACTGTCCATGCCTTCTGATGTTCTCATAGCTCCGAGTCTTTTGTCATTCTGTCATGCTGCCAGGCCTGTCAGTGATGGCCTGCTCTAAGAGTTTAGTAGATAATTCAGTTCACCTCACAACCATCAGATTTTCAGGTAAAAATTCCATAAATATGTTTTTTTAAAAGAACATAAATTCTTCCTTTTTTTTTTTTTGTTTTTCTTGAGCTGGAGTCTCGCTCTGTCACCCAGGCTGGAGTGCAGTGGCGTCATCTTGGCTCACTACAAGTCTCGCCTCCCAGGTTCCCGCCTGCCATTCTCCTGGAGGCCATTCTCCTGACTCAGCCTCCGGCAGAGCTGGGACTACAGGCGCCCGCAACCACGCCTGGCTAATTTTTTGTATTTTTAGTAGAGACGTGGTTTCACCATGTTAGCCAGGATGGTCTCCATCTCCTGACCTCGTGATCTACCCGCCTCAGCCTCCCAAAGTGCTGGGATTACAAATTCCTCCTTTCCTTAAAGCCTAAATTACAAGAACATTTTTGTCAAAAAACATTAGAAATGCAATTCTGCCTATTAACTTGGGTTCACTCAGAATAGCACGTTGTCCAATAGAAGAGAAACAAAATAACAGATTTATAAAAGACCAGTTTACATATCTATTGTCATTTAATTATTTTAAATTGAGTTTTTTATTGTTTCAATTAATCAATGACAAACACAAATATATGTCTTTCATGGTTTGTTTCAAACTTCTATTGCATTGCCATATATAATAGCTATCAGAAAAATTTATTTTGTGTCAGATATTAAGTTTTTTATCAACATTAATGCCTTCAATCATAAAAGTAAGCCCTAGATAGAATGTACTATTATGGGCCCCATTTTATAAATTACTGAAATTCAGAGGGGTTGCCAAAAGGTGGATGGGGCCAGGATCCTCACATACTCAGTTTGAATGAAAATTTATGCTTTTAAATAATACATCACAGATCTAGACCTTTCACAGCCCACAAATATACCTATTTTGCTATATGAAAAGAAAGAAAACATGAAAATAGGTAAACTATTGTTTATTCTTCTCAACCAAGTAAACATGCACTCCACTGACAAAGGTAACAATGGTTAAAGGAGATAATATTTAGAAGACACCTTCAAATTGTAATCTTTTAAACACTTATGCAGAAAAAGTTTTAGATCCTCATGTCAAAAACTGAGCCACATTACAGATCATCTTTGAGGATTATGTATGTTTAACCAAACAAAAGACATGAGGTTTTCTTGTTTATTACAGGCAATCAATGCAAAGGGAGAATTTCTTCACCCTCACATAGAACTGATTACAATTTATTATTCAGTGTGAACCCAAAAGTGTAAAAATTGAGCTAAATTAGTGAGAAGTGTTTAATTTTAACACATCTTTGGCATAAACTTGGTGCTGTAGTTTGGATCTTTGTCCCCCTAAAACTCATGCTGATATTTGATCCTCAATGTTGGAGGTGGGGCCTAATGGGAGGTATTTGAGTCATGGGGGTGGATCCCTCATGAATGGCTTGCTGTTGTCCTCACAGTAATGGGCGATTTCTCACTTTATTAGTTCCCTAAAGAGTTTATTTAAAAGATCCTGGCACCTCCCTTCTGCTCTTGCTTTCTCTGTCATCATGTCATTTCTGCATATGATGGATCCCCATCCCCTTCTGCCATGAGTGGAAGCAGCCTGAGGCTCTTACCAGAAGCAAATGTTCATACCATGCTTCTTGTACAGTCTGCAGAATTGTGAACCAAATAATCTTCTTTTCTTTGTAAATTATCCAGCCTCAGCTATTCCTTTACTGTCAACACAAATGGACGAAGACACTTGAGTACCTTATTTAATATGATCTGTAGTTACTCACTGTGAAGCATTATTATTGCTATTTTTAAAAGAGTATTATCTGCTCCAAGGTTAAACAAAGTCAAAAATACAACATTAAAGTTATTCTTAATGATTCAATTTCTTTCTTCTGACTATTATATCCAACAGAGCATTGTTAAAAGTGAGAAGCAATAAAGACCTAGTTTAGATAAATTTTTCCATAATACTCAGGCAAAATAATTCAATGGAGTACACTAAACCACAGCATCAGCCATGTCATTTTACAGAAAATGTCCTTAGAATTTGCAGTGTAATTATGTATTAATGGAATGCCCCATAGAGGAGAAACCTAAAAGTTATGATCAATATTTAAGTTTCATAGACAAGGAAACTATAACTAAAGAATGGTACTTTATCACAAATGATGTATTGAGGGCATTTCTTATTTCCCCACATCTCTTTTATACTTAGTAAAGTTCACTGAATTAAGGGGACATTTTTATTAAACACCAGAGTATAGAAACCAAAGCAACATGATGTCTGTGAGTTCCATGCCAGAAGCTAGTAGGGTTTTCACTCTCTGAAATGGAATTTCTTTCTAGTCTACTACTTTTGTGATCAAGATGTTTTATAGGAGCTGTACATTTGATGATCTTTGATATAACTCCCAGGTCTTGATTAAGATATATGTTATGGTGAAATTGTGGTCTCCTGAGTATGAGGAGCTTAGTAGGTAATTTTCCTGCAGGTAAAGATAACATATTTTGCTTTTCTCTGATAGTGAGGTGTCTCCTTTCAGTTATGTCTTGTGCAACAATTGCCATCAATAGATAAGTGATTTAAGTCAACACAAGCTGTGCTTTTAATAGGCACAAATATGTGGTTCTATTGATTTTCATTTAAATCTGTATGTGTTTGGGGACATAGACCTATTTACAGCACATAGCATAAGAAAGAACATAATTTTGTTGATGAAAACATATCTTGGTAAAAAAAAAATAGATGTGGAATTTAGAAACAAAGCAAATGTTCTAATTTAGTCCATTAGACTCAATGTAAAGAAGTTTGACAGTTACTCCATGGACAGGGATACAGGATGCATATATTCAGACAAGAGAAAATCTCTTTTTTTTATATAAGGTAAACCAGATTACATAGTAACAAGTCAATGTGGCCTACTGATGGTATTTTTCTGTCGTTTCACTGGTCAGTAGTCTGGTTGCTTTACTCCTGGTATCCATAAGAGGGTGGCTTAGTTGTTGATCAATGGGGTTATTAACAGTGAGATTTTGATGGCTGTAAATGCCTACTTGCAATTTATAACCACGTGCTTTACACTAACTCAGCTGTCAGTGCCTGTACTAAGAAATCCAAAGGGATATAAGTACTGATTTTTCTTTTCAGCTTTAGGAAAAAACACTTATGAGCTAGGTCATTGGACATTGATCTGTAAAAGTAATATTTTTCAACTAAGAATTGTCAAAAATATAGAGTTCTAGTTATGAGCCAACTTTCAGTTTCATAAAGTATTTCATTCTGAGGACAGTGATGTATGAGGAGAAAAATGATAAAAATAGAACAAAAGACAGGGAAAAGTTGTCATTTAATAAATTAAACATACATAATTTATTTCACTCATGGCCTAGTAATTGCAGGCTTGAATAATTTCCAAAAGTTTTCAGTCTGAAAACAAAATCCACACCAACTCTGTTTGGCAAGGTTGAGTGTGGCAACAGGGTCCTTGAGGAAAGAAAAGGAAGGAGGACACGCAGAGGAAGAAGTTGCTGTGGAAGTAGAAAGAGAAGGCAACATCTCATAGTGGGCTTCTACCTCTTGGTGACAGATTACAGCAGAGTTGCCCTCAGGTTCCTCTCGCCTCAGTGTTGAGATACACGATTGCTATTTTAGCTTAGTTTTCTTTATTGCTGGAATCTTAATTTTATTCTCTGGCTCCTCTAGCTTAGGCTGTTTATAGATTAAGTATTCTGGAAATTGGATTTTCAAGTAGTTATTTTCACCTGACTAGGCAATCCATTCAGTATCAAAAATTGTTCCTGATGCTCTATTGGCCTAAACGTTGTTATTAATGATATCAATTACCCACTTCACAGGCACTGTATTTGCTATTCTTACCAGATAAAAAGGTAAAGTAGAAATAAGGTAATTAATGCTTCTGAACCTTTGTTCAGTTTGGCCTGCTTAGAATGTTAAAGAAATTTTTTTCTTTCCCTTCCTTCCTCCCTCCCTCCCTTTCTTTTTCTTTCTTTCTTTCTGTCTCTCTTTCTTTTTTAATGTTTAAATTTTCACGTGGGCTTTTTGGGAAATATTTAGTTCCCTCTTATACACAGTTGATCACTGGTTACTGTAATTTGGGTCTAAGAATAAATTGACTTCCTCATATGTATCTTTTCTGCTTCTTCCAAGATACTTCTTACTAATTGCGAAATAAAGTCTTCTCTTCTAGTATCTGGTCTGACCTCAGTTCCTGACACAGAGCTTCTAAAGTCTTTGTAATTTCCTGACTCATATGAGCATCTTTCCTTCTAATGAGATGGCTCTTGGTGAGCTCCTGGCTGGGGGCTGTTCAGCAGAAAGACCAAGCAATAATTAGAATCTTGGAGCTTTCTACCTCACATCTCACTCTGCAAAGAGGGGAGAATAGCTGAAAATTGAGTTAATAATCAATCATGCCTACATGATGAAGACTCCATAAAAATTTCTGAACTATGGGGTTCAGAGAGCCTCTGGATAGGGGAAACACATCCATGTACTGGGTGGGACACATTGCAACTCCACAGATAGTGTCAGAATTGAATTGAATTAGAGAAGACCCAGCTGGTGTCCACTGAATAATTTCTTAGTTTGTAAGCAAAACCCCCCACATATCTGGAAGTTTGTCAGAGTGTTCTATTGAGTAGTGTGTGAAGAGAGAAAAAAACAGAAATATGCAGAGATTAAAAAGTCTGCTTTTTCTTTTGAGTAATATATTATTGTATATTCTTCTGTAGAGTTTATACAGTAATAATAAGCTTGAATTTTTCTTTATAGCATATAGTATGATAATAATCAATTACATGTTTATGTATTAATCAGAACTCTTTAGTTTGTAAATGCCGGAAACACCTAAGTCAAGGCAGTTAAATTAGAAAGGGTACTTTACTGATTCATGTCAGTATCAAGTCCATGAACAACACTAATATGGATGGTTATATGCAGAATGCTCAAGTAAACACACTCACCACACACACACACGCATACACAACACCATTTTCCCAACTCTTCATTCCTCCATCGCTTGCTTCCCTAAATATTTAAGCAAATTCTTTCCTCCTTAAGATTGACTTTCTTCAAACAATTAGGGTCTTCCTCACTCTTTTTAACAGAATCTCAACTGCAGAAATGAAGAAACTAACTCTAAGTTTCTGAAATCTGATAATTAAACTTCAAATGACTTGTATTCCTATATGACTTGGTTTAAGATCAAAGCTGCCCAGATACATAATCTGGCTTGGTCTTATGCTTGTGTATAACACATGGCCGTACAAGAGCCAATTTCACAAAAAGGGGGAGGGGTTAGATAAGTCAGGAAAACAAGGGTGGAGGGAAAGAGATTGTGTTGGTGAGGAAAAAAACCCAGAGGTTCACTGCAAAGTAATTTAAGCACCAAAAGGATGTGATCGCTTCTGTATCTGTTTCAGTGTCAATCTTCATTTATAGACATAGCCCTAGAACATAACTTAGTGCTGGACAAATTATAGAAGCTCACTAAATACATATAAATGGCTATTTTTGCATCCTACCTATGTCTCAGCCATACCCTATTTAAATGCAAATTCCTTTCCTCTTACTTTTCTTTTTTTTTTGAGACAGAGTCTCACTCTGTCGCCCAGGCTGGAGTGCAGTGGTGCGATCACCGCTTATTGCAAGCTCTGCCTCCCAAGGTCAAGCGATTCTCCTGCCTCAGCCTCCCGGGTAGCTGGGACTACAGGCTTGCGCCACCACGCCCGGCTAATTTTTGAACTTTTAGTAGAGATGGGGTTTCACCATGTTGGTCAAGCTGGTCTCAAACTCCTGACCTCGTGATCCGCCCGCCTCAGCCTCCCAAAGTGCTGGGACTACAGGCATGAGCCACCGCGCCTGGCCTCCTCTTACTTTTTCTGTAACTTTCACTAGCTTTGACTACAGTGAAATACTCTATTTGTGTTTCATAACCAATTTCATATCCAAAAGCATATGGGAATATTTATGTCATCATAACAAAATATCAGTGTAAATTTGCATTCTATTTTACTACAGTTTTATTTGCCAAGTTATGAACAATTACAAAAATACAAAATGAAACATAAGTATCTCATGTATTAAGAAAATAGTTTGAATTTATTATTTTTCTCATGTGTTCGCATTAAGGATCCACATCACTACAGACACTAAAACATTCTACAACTTTTCTATATTTTATTAAAATTTATATATGAGGCCAGGTGCGGTGGCTCATGCCTGTAATCCCAGCACTTTGGGAGGCCGAGGTGGGCAGATCACCTGAGGTCAGGAGTTCAAGACCAGCCTGGCCAACATGGTGAAACCCCATCCCTACTAAAAATACAAAAATTACCTGGGCGTGGTGGTGGGCACCTGTAATTCCAGCTACCCAGGAGGCTAAGGTGAGAGAATCACTTGAACCGGGGAGGCAGAGGTTGCAGTGAGCCGAGATCGTTCCACTGTACTCCAGCCTGGGTGACAAAGCAAGACTCCGTCTCAAAAAAAAAAAAATACTATATATGCATATATTATCTCAATTTGAAAAATGATAGGGCACAAAGCATGTGAACACTTTGGCTTTGTACCAAATGCCACCATATGAGTTCAATCAAAGGAGATAAATTGTTTAACTATATTTCAATGAACAGTACAAAATACCACTACTTTTTAAATTTAATATTCCCTATTATAGGTGTAACATTTTTGAAAATTTATTTAACATCTCTAATATGTGATCCTTACTTCTTTAATACATAATATTGGTATGATCTTATTTCATAGGATTATAATAAGAATAGATAAAATATTCCACAAAAAATGTGATTCACACATACTAAGCACTCAGAAAGTGGTAGCTATTATTTTAGGTATCTTGAAATACTGAATATTCTTCCAAATTCCTTGTTTCTAACAGAGAGGATTTAAAATGATATTAGCTGAGTCTTTTATTAAAGGGTATTGAATTGACAGAAGCATTTCAGGAATATGACTGGGAAAAATAATAATTATAATTATTTGCCTGATAGTTTTCATCACTAAGAGAAAACTAAAATCACCTTCCTGCATAAATTCACCTATTTGACAATTTAATTATTTGAAAAAGCTGATAATATTTCTCCATGGAATAATATTAACAGATACATTTTAATTAATATTTTAGTATTTGTAGTTAATAATTATTCATACAAAACAGTCACTTGCTTATATTATTTGATTTTGTATTAATTACCATATAAATGATAACTCATGTTTAATAACAACGAAAGAGATTTTCTAATATTAAAAATGTATGTTCCCTGGAAAAACTTATATTCTAATACATGTACAGAATTCTATAACAGAATGCTAAACAGGTTGATAGATACAATGTTTTCAAACAATTAAATAGATTATATAATGATCAATTCTATCAGAGAAGTCAAAAGAATATGTGAAAACAAAATGAAAATAAAACAGCATGCGATTTATGAGTAGTGAAAAAGAGAACATTAATATACGATGAATTTTTGATGACAGGTATTAAATCACTATAGCTTTTAGATTCCATTCATTTATATAAAAATAAATATTTTTATCCTTAAAGAATATTTTTTATCATTTTTGAAATTATATACTTGGCAAATATCTAAAATATACATTTTTAAATGTAATTTTAAATGTCAATTTAAAATCAGCCAAGGAATTACACAGTACATTCAGGGGGTTTAGAGCAAAAGAAAAATTTGAGAACATATTTTACAACAGCCAATGCAATAAAATAGTGATGTAGGAGGCCTAAAAGTTGTTAATGTACTGACCAAGTAAGAGACAATTTGTGAACTGATAGAGACGAACTTCATTAAAGAATTTGTCTATATTTTAACAGGTGAAGAACAGAATGTATGCAAGCTGAGGACGTAGAGACTCCAAGTTTAGATTACTCATTTTACATATGAAACATTAGAAAATGTTGAAAGTGATATTATTTCTTGAAAGAAAAATGACCTAATTGGAATAAACTTAATTAATTCATTTAAAACCTCAACACCAAGAAAGATGTTTTTATAGTTTTACTTACATCTTTTAAGAATGTAGTCAAGGCAGTTCTGCACACTAATTAGACCTCCATGAAGCTGACGGCTTGATGTTTTTCTTCAAAAATTTAATGATACAAACATACTTAGCACAATATGAATGAATTAGGTTTATATTCTACTTGGAAAGCATTCTACACAGTAAAAAGGCAGAAAACAAAATTCTTCACTAATAGGAAGCTATTTTGTGACTGTGGCAGTTGAAAAGCAACGCCAAACTTGCTACATTTCTCTCATTCTTGGAATCCAAAAAAGAATAGGTATGGATCTACTAAACTATACTGAAAAATAATGTTTTTAAAAAACTGTTGCACATTTTCAACAAATAACTTAAATGTACTAAGTATATTGAATGTTGAATTTTAAAACTTAGATGTAGACACTTCTTGTAGACCATCATCATATGAGCCTCTGTCTAATGAAACAGTTGATTCCACTATTTATAGGGATAACTTATTTATTCAATATCTACATATGTATTCTGTGCTAGGTAGTGGCATGCTCTGTCCACTGGGGATACAGAAATCAAAATATTTCAGAACTCGAGATTTTATGTCACATAAATGTTGTGGTGTGTCGGCTTGTCTCTTTCTCCTCCACTACTCTTCTCGGAGTCTTGTTCACATCCTTCCCATTTCCAAGACCTGCCACACAATCAAGTTAACTTTTAAAGAGAGGGGTGTTGTAGTATCATTGAAGACAGTAGACATTTTGAGAAGAGGCTGTGTTGCCAATATCAATAGTCTGATTTTCTTAGAGATTCTTACTAACCCTAGATATCTAAAGATGTTACTGAACCCCAGTAGCCAAATTTGAGCTCTGTGGAACTCATCCTGGGTTAATCTACTAGAAGGGAATGAATTTTGACTGAACAATACAGTAATTAACAAGAAATTTAATTATTTTATTAATTATTTATTACAAAGAAAGAAGATGTTCTAATTTTTAAAATTATGTATTATACAAAGGCATAACAGATTTTCCACCAGCAACATTGCATGAAAGTTAGCAATAAAATACACATTTTTTCTTCCCAAAGTTGATTATTTCAGCACCTCACCAACATAATCAAAGACTCAGTTTCTATGTAAAATTGTGCTCACCATCCTTGGCATGCTGGCATTCCCTTTTAGGCTGATTACCCTCATGACATCAAAATGGCTGCTGAAGTTTCAGGCTTTACCTGCATTTGGAAAACTTAAAGGCAAAAAGGTCTGAAATCACATTTTTAACATATTGTATACAAAGCACTGAGAACATAGAATCTTGTATCTAGGTAAATTGTCATTCAATTATGAAATCTTAACAAAAATACTCAGATAAACAAGCTATCAAAAAGCCTGCCACACAAATCCTCCTCTCCCCACATTGGAAACTGTTATTGAAGAGGAGAGACAAATCTATGAGAATCCAAAGAGGGGCAGTCAGTAGTACTTATCAAATATTACATTATAAGTAGCTGGAAATGGTTATAAGTCATAAAATGCTGAAAAGCCTAGGAATTAAGAGAAAGTCTTCAGATAAAAGTACATTCAGATATTCTGTAATATGTGAATTATTTGTGAGTGGACAATAGTATGTAAAATGTGTTTATGTACAAGTGTGTACTGTGTATGCATGAAAAGCTAAACAACAAATAGTTTAACATGGATGGCACCACTCCTTTTCCTTGCCATTGCATGATCCAAGGATTGCATATTGTAGATCTCACAGTGCTTATCTTGTTCAGACTGATTACCTCTCACAATTGAGGGGGAAAAAATTAAATTGTTACTTACTTATCTTTATAAACTTTCTTGTGCTTAGCGAAATCCCTGGACAAAAATAAGTGCCTAGAATTAGTTTAACCAGATTATGACAGTGACTCAAAATAAATAATGAGACCCCTGCCCCTTTTCTTTCCTTTCTGTACTTACCTTCTTACTAATTGAATTGTTTCTCTTCTTGGGATACTATGTGGTTCCTACATGTACAAACAATAAAAATATAATACATAATAAATAACATGTATCTCAAAAGAATCTGAGGGGAGTAGATAAATAGTTCACATAAGGGATTCTTGGGTATTGAAACTGGTAAGTATCTTGACTGTCATGTTAGAACCTACGCGGATGATAACACTGCACATAGAATTTGCATGCACCCACAAATGCATACAACTGAATAAAAGTAAAACTGGATATATCTGAGTGGATATATTGCATAAATGTTAATATTCCAATTGTGATATTATACTGTAGTTTTACAAAATGCTAGTGTCAGGAAAAATGGGTAAATTTTACCAAGGATCTGTCGATATTATTTATTTATTTATATTTTATTGACGTATAATATTAACAGATGTATGCAGTTTCAGGGTATATGTGATAAATTTAAAACAGTCCAATAATTTGTAAAGATCACATCAGTGTACTTCAGATATCCATCATCTTAAATATTTGTTTTTTCTTTATGCTAGAACCATTTGAATTCTTCTCTTTTAGCTATTTTAATATATACAACAGATTATTGCAAACTATAGTTACCCTACTGATCTGTGTAACACTAGGTCTTAACTTCATTTATTTAAGAGTATATGTGTGCCCATTAATCATCTTGTCTTTAACCCTCCCCTTCCCGCACCCCTTTTGCAATTGCATGTGAATCTACAATTATCTAGATTTTCAAAAAAGAATCTGGTATCTCACATCTTAGCATGGATATGTCAAAAACTACATTATATTTGCAATTTGCATTTTCTTCTCTATATTGTTTATGAACTGTGTTTTCCTTGTAATAGATTAACAATTATAATCAAGCAGATGTTTAGCGTTTTGGGTAAATAAGGGGTTTGGCATCATGGGATGTAGGAAGCCTCTGAGTCCACCTATAAACAATATCATCCTTGTTTGTGTATTAATTTATTCAGTACTTATAATTTATTCATATGAATAGATACAAATGAATTGTGCATAAGCTAAAGATTGATGCATAAATTAGGCAATACATGTGCTATCCTAATTGTAGAGATATGTATACATTTTCATTTAATACCTATCTTTCAATAGAATGTAAGGTTCATGAAACTCCAAGTGGTTTAATGTTTTTTCCCCTTTCCTAGTAGCCTGCCTGGCATTCAATTAGTATTCAACAAATATTGGAGAATGAATGAATAGGTACACAATTCTGCGAAATATATAGAGAAATATATTTCTGACTGGAGATAGTCAAATAATTTTGAAAAACGAGATGTTTGTAAGAGGACTTGGAACTGGATTAAAAATTGTGAGCTAGGAAAGGAAGAAAAGAACATTCTAAGGGATTGCTTAACATCTGCAAAGGTGGGGAAGCAGAAAAAATTAAGAGCAAGACATATTTTGGGAATGGTAAGCAGCATATAAAGGCTTAGAAAAAGAGATTTGAATTAATTTCTGAAACGTTGTATATATCATGCTAGATAATTTTTATTTATTCAATAACCTTGACGTTTTCAGGCAGAGAAGGGAAGCAGTGAATTTTTTATTCTAAAAAATCTTATCTGGTCTTGCTTTATAACTTTGTTTGTGGGGATGAGGTAGAAACTGGCACAGGCATCTGGAAGGAAGGAGGAATGAGAATATGTCTTAGTTTTCTTGGGCTACCATAACAAAAGACAACATATTAGGTGGTTTAAACAACAAAAAATTATTTCTCACAATTTTGAAGCCCAGAAGTCCATGATCAAGGTGTCTGCTGATACAGTTTCTCCTGAGGACTCTTTTTTGCCTTGAAGATGGCTGTCTTCTTTCCTGTGTTCACATATGGTTTCCCCTCAGTTTGTGTGTTGTCTTGTGTCTTAATCTCCCACTAAAAGGACACCCGTCATATTGGATTAGTGCTCTTGCGTAGAACCACAATTTAACTTAATTATCTCTTGAAAGACCCTATTTCCAAATACAGTCACATTCTGAGGTACTATGGAGTAAGGACTTCCCTATATAAATGTTGCGGTGACACAATTCAGCCCATAATGGAACACAATTATTAATTCTGATGACAAGAGAATTTTCATAATGTATATCTAGACATAAATGCTATGTCTATAGACAGTCATCAAGAAATATTAAAGTTTTTTTTTTAGACTAAAGCTTTATTTTCTGTACATGGAATCAAGTTTTCTGTAGCCCAGCCAGTTCATCAGATAAGAGTATTTGGCTAAACATCTCCAAAACCTTCTCTTTATAGTTCTATTTTCCTTAACCTCCCTTCCAAGATTGATTTTCATAGAAATAGGTGAGAGAGTTTCATTAAGTGATAAATACGCATTCACACGCTAAGCTGTTACCTTTCTTCACCAACAGAAATGTGCTATCATTGTACTTCCTGGCTGTCACATGTGGCATCTCTGTGGCATACCTACTGGCCTTTTTCCCAAGACATTTTCAATGGTTGACTATAATCTCATTATCCTTTTAATTCCATACATTACATCATAACAAAATAAATTTCTAATCATTCACCAGCATCAAAACTACAATCACTTCTCGTGAAATTTCTTCTATTGAATGCACGTAGAATTATTTACTATCGGATGGAAAGTTAAAGACATTTCTACTACAGAATGAAATTCTAGCTAATTAAGTTGGTAATGGAACTTAGATCTATCAAGCATGTTTATATTTTACAATAACTTGATTTAACTAGCTCTAGTGATGCTAATGTGATTTTGACATTATTTTCAGTGACAAAGTCTTAGCCTATTTTAATCAATTAAATCTGCAATTACATTAGAAAGTGTATAAACCATTTATTGAAATTATTATAAAGAAGCAAACAACTGAAAGTAATAAAAACAGATTTATTTCTGTAACTGAATGCATCGTGGCATCTATCTACATAGTGCTCTCATATTCTTTTGCATATTTCCATAAAAAGACATCCATACACTATCATAATTTTGTTTATAATATAGTATACTATAGTGTTATATAGTATACTATATACATAATATAGTATTTTATTATATAGAATGGTGTAATATATGCTATATATAGTATATTATTAATAATATAATGTATTATTTTATGATAAAATATAATCTAATATAGTATAATATAGTATACTATACTATGTTATATATATATATTAGAATAGAATGTAATATAGTATACCCTGAGGTACTGTGGTATAATGTAATATAGTGTAATATAATATACCACAGTATACTATATTTGATTGTATTCTAATCTAATATATTCTATTCTATTACAGTATGGTATAATATATTATAGTACACCATACTATAGTGTACTGTAATACAAAACATAATATGATATGGTTTATTTTTCTACTTCTTCCTTTATTCTATAGGCTATGTGAAGATATTTTTGCATCTTATTCTAAACAGGTAATAATTAAAATGACTTTAAATGAATGCCCAGAAAAAAATAAATGAAGTGTCAAGTATAAACATTAACAAACTCACAAGCACTGGCACTTTCACTGCTTTATTCATTGCTTTGAACCTCATAAATGACTAATTTTTATTTGTACTGTAAATTAATGACTAACAGTTAGAAAAAAACCTAAAGTAGGATTAAAAATATCCTAAGCCAACATGTATCTGATGTGACCCTAATTCTTTGATGAGCCACAGTTTTTCTCCCAGATGCAAAAGGAAGTCTTTGAAATGCTAAAAATTGGAAGAGAAAGATAAATAAAAAGGCAATTTCTGGATTATTTGCAAAAACACTTTTTAGAGATTTGTCTACTTCGTGAAATATTATGAAAATGGATTGACGAAACTAAAGTTGATCTGTTAATATAACTATTTTTTAGTTAGTGATAGTAAAATTTCATCTTTATCAAATGTCTGTGATGATTAGGACATTAGTTAATCATTTGATTTTGATTTCATTTTTAATTTATAGATAATGTATAGGTTACAAAACTAAACATTTTTGCATATCCTATGATGACATGTGAGTGAAATAATATAATATGTAGTGTTTTGAGTCTGTCTTATTTTACTTAGCATGATGTACTTGGAACTCAGTCATTGTTTCATTTGTCTATAGTTCATTCCTTTTTACTGCTAAGATTATAATACTACATTTATCCCTTCTCCAGTTGAGGGACATTTCAGCTCTTTCCAGTTTTTTGCGATTATGAATAAAGCCACTATAAACATTTGCTTACAGGTTTTGTATGAACAACAGCTTTTGCTTTATTTAAGCAAATACCTGGAGAAGGAACTGCAGGATCAAATGGTTAAGTTTATACAGTATTTAACTTTATTGGAGAGTTGTAAACCATGTTTGTTTTTGTTTGTTTTGCATACTGAATTTAGTTATCACTTGCTGCGTAAAAGGCTACCCCCAAAACTAGGTAGCTTAGAAGAGCAAACATACATTATTTCACAATTTCTGTGGGTTAGGAATTTGGAACTTGATAGCAGGGTAGCTCTAGCTCAGGTTTCTCATGAGGTTGTAATCAAGATGTTCCCAGGCTACATTCATGAAATGCCTGAGAGGAGAGGGGTCCATTTCTAAGCACCCACATTGATGTTGCAATGTGGTCTCAATTCTGCCACATGGAAATCTTCGTAAGGCTGTTTTAGTGTCCTCACAACATGTTAAGGGAATCTCCCAGACCAAATGATCCAAGAGACAGATCGATGAGAAAGCAGCAATGCCTAGTATAATGTAGTAACAGATGACACATACCTTCATTTCCACAGCATTTGACTTGATGAAAGTGAATTACTAAGTGCAGACAACATTCAAGGATAGATGAGTTAGCCTCCCATTTGAAGGAGGGAGGAGGAAGTATAAAAGGATTACTAGATATATATTTGATAACCACTACACATAAGGATATCTACTATCTCTAGCATAAATTATCAAAGAGATACCCCTTTTCTATTTAATTGTCTTTGGCTTTCGAAAAGAAATCGAATTACCACACGTATGTATTTTAGGACATTCTATTATTTAGCATTGTTTTATATGCCTCTTTTTTATTCAATAAAATACTGTCTTGATTACTACAGATTTGAAGTCAACTATCAAGAGTCGTCTAGCTTTGTTCTTACTTTTCAAAACTGTTTTGTCTCTACTGGCTTCATTGACTTTTCATGTAAATATTGTCAATTCCTTCAAATGTTCTTTGGAATTTTTATTGGGATTGCTTAAATTTATAGGTCCATATGAACACAACTAAGATCTTAATAATATAGAATCACAAGCTATAAATACACTATATTTGTTCATCGACTTAATTCCTATATTTAATCAATGTTTTATAGTTTTATCATTTTCAGGATACATATATTACATGTATTTTAGGAGATTTAAACTTAAGCATTTCATGATTAATACTACGACTGTAAATAGTACTTTTTTCTAGGATCAGTTTCTAATTGTTCATTAGTAGAATAAAAATGTTAACATTTCATATTAACCTTGAATTCTGAAAACTTGTTTAACTCATTTATTAGTTTTGTTAGCATTTTGTTGGTTCTTCACTAATTTCTATCCAAACGATTTTGATGTTTGCAAATAGATATAATTATATATTTTGCCTTTCCAGTCTGTATGTCTTTTATTTCTTTACTGGCTTTATTGCATTTGTTAGGACCTCCTGTATGATACTATGCAGGAATTGTGATAGTTGATATCCTTGGTTTTTTCCAAACTTAGAGAGAGAAAACCCAGTTTTTCAGCAATATGTAGAAACATTATGTAGAACTGTGTGTGAGCTACAGTTTTTGATTTGTTTGTCTAAGATATACTTTCTCAGACTGAAAACATGTTCCTCTGTTTTTGGTTTTCTGAAAGTTCTATATCATAATTGGATGTTAGATTTTGTCAAGTGCTTTTACTACATCTATTAAGATTATCTTTTTTTTTCCTTTAGTGTGCTGATATGGTGAGTTACATTGGATGATTTTCCAATTTTGAATCAATGTTTAATAACCAGATAAAACAAAATTGGTCAAGATATATTATCAATTTCATATGTCCCTGGATTTGATTTACCAATAATTTGTTAAAGTTGGTTGCATCTATGTTCATGAGAAATAATTATCTATAGTTTTCTTTTAATGTAATATCCATATTGAGTTTCAGAGGTGTATTAATTATGCTGTCATAAAAGTGAGTGATTTTGAAGGTGGTCCCTTCATTCTTTATTGGAGAACTGATTGTGTAGGATTGATATAACTTCTTCACTAAGTATTTAGTATAATTATGCAAGAAGCTCCATGAATATTGAGAT
This sequence comes from Homo sapiens, assembly GCF_000001405.40. Classification (NCBI taxonomy): domain Eukaryota; kingdom Metazoa; phylum Chordata; class Mammalia; order Primates; family Hominidae; genus Homo; species Homo sapiens. The sequence continues at coordinate 55,722,228 of NC_000010.11, read as the reverse complement.
TTCTTTGGCTATATTTTTTAACAACAAATGCAATTTTTTTAACAGATATAAAGTTACTCACTCTATTTCTTCTTGGAAAATTTTTGGTAGTTTATTTACTTAAAAAATGTTTCCAATTAATCTAATTGGTCAAATTTAACGACAGAGAGTTTTGTTAAAGTATTTATTTAATAGCCTTTTAATATTCCTTTAATAGCCTTTTCTTTTCTCTTTTTTTCTTTTTGTATTTTTTGTCAGTCTAACTAGAAGTCTATAAATTTTATTGATATTTTCAAATAACTATCTTCATTACAGATTGATTTTTCACTTCTGGTTTTCTTTTCAATTTTTTATCTATATTTTCATTTTTTTCAAGTTTTTAATGTATATTTTATTTACTGATGTTAGCTTTACATGTAATTTGCCCTTCTCTTATCACAGATGATTTTTGGACATCTGTATCTTCTAACAAAGACACTGAATTTTATACATTTTCTTTAAGCATTATTTTAGCTTCATCGTACAAATATTGGTAAAAAAATTTTTTCATTGGCATATATTTTACAGAATCTCTTTTGACTTTCTCTTTGATCCACTGGTTATTTAGATGTATGTTCTTAATTTCTAAATAGTTGGTTTGTTTTTTTTCAAATATCTTTCTGTTACTGAATGCTATTTAATTATGTCCCAATAATACAGTTTTATCAGATTTCAGTATTTTGAGCTTGTTTTTCTGTGTCACCGGGAATATGATCCACCTGGGTGAATAACACATGGGCACTGGAAAATAATATATAATCTCTTTTCTACAGAGCATTTCAGGATGTTGGGTAAATCACGTTGGTTGACAGTGCTGTTTACTTCTTTGTACTTACTAATATGTCCTGTACTTTATCTATCAATTCTATGAAAAACTGAGATATAAATTTTGCAAACTTGTCTATTTCTCTTTACAGTTCACCAGTTTTGCTTCATATATTTTAGACCTGTACTTTTAGGTGTATGGACATTTCACATCGTTATGCTTTTTTGAGTAATTGCCCCATTTATCATTATTTATTTCCATTCTCTCCTACAGCAACATCATTAGCTCCTCCTTTTCCACAGGATGCGACTTTTATTTTTTTCCATAAGTAATATAGAATACAATCTGCATGGACTTTTGTGTCTTTCCTCAGAAACTGATGTTCTGCTTCCCCAGGCATGCATCATGGGAATGGCTTTCTTGGGTCCCGTCTGTCATTCTGCCTTCAATCTTTCTTATGAGGACAGAGTAACATCTGTATCATGTGTGGAAGCTAGAAACCTAATCAACTTACTTAATTTGAAATTTCATCCACGGAGTGTTCATTTCACAACCCTTTTATTGTCTGATCTTATACATGGAAAACTTGAAGCTTAAAGAGCTTTTAATTTGCCCAAGATCAGACAGCTAGGAAGTGAGAGAGCTATGTTGCTTCTTTATTTTTTACTTCACTTATTTTTCTCTATACGGGGGAAAATTATATTCAGAAATCAGATTTATTTTAAACTGTTGAAATATTTATTAATATCAGTAGATCAATGGAAAGACATTTATATGCAGTTTTTTTCTTTTGTACACGTTTTATAATAATGTGAAAGGCTAGAAAAATATAAAAATGTTTTCTCGAAAACAGGCATATGGCTAGGGATATGACAGTAAAATGCTCTTTGATTCTACTCCATTTTCTTGAATAGTATAATGTAACTCTATAATTCTAATAATTATTATTATTTTGAGATGGAGTCTTGCTCTGTAGCCCAGGCTGGAGTGCAGCAGTGCGATCTGATTCACTGCAACCTCCGCCTCCCAGATCCCGGTTCAAGTAATTCTTCTGCCTCAGCCTCCTGAGTAGCTGGATTTACAGGTATGCACCACCATGTCCAGCTAATTTTTGTAGTTTTAGTAGAGATGGGCTTTCACCATGTTGACCAGGCTGGTCTTGAATTCCTGACCTCGTGATCCGCCCGCCTGGACCTTCCAAAGTGCAGGGATTACAGGCGTGAGCCACCGCGCCTGGCCAACTCTATTATTTTCAAGACTCTAATATAGTAACATAATTGCCATATTTGAAAAAAAACTTCTAAAATAGACTATAATATCATTACAATATCCAAATGTCCATAAGTGACATAAAAGCCTGTATTTAAGAAATTGAAAACAATAAAAAGGCTAAACATAGGAGTAAGATTTAGGAGCAGTGTGAGTTGAGGCTGGATATGGCAGCAGAGACTCAATTATATAAGGGAAGAACATGGTACATCCTTCTAAGACATGATAGTAAGTTTCACCTTTACCACCAGACCAGTGACAGCCATTGAAATACTTTTACAAAGGAAGAGATATGATTAGTTTTTATGGATGACACAATTTCAAATTTTTGTGATATATCTTAATTTCAAAGAGTTGAATAAAATATCTGATAAATTCCACTATTGCCTAAAATGTATGTAAAATCAAAGCTTTTAATGGAATTCTCAGACCTTCAAAGGCATAAACATTTATTTTAAAGTATTAGCTTTAAATGTTATCTATCAATAGTTTTTATAGAAAATATAATGGAGAAATAAGGTGAATATAACAGTAAGGTAGCTTAAAAAAATCCTCTGAAGTGAGTATTTAAAAATATGAGTTCATGATTAGACACATCTATAGCCAAACCCATTTGACTGTATATTACGAGGTCTTAGTTACCATGTAATTAACTGAAGACTATAAAAACACATTGAATGGTACAGTAAGTTGTACTGGTTATCATAATATATTGGTAAGTAAGTGTCAATCATATTGTGGATTTCTAAGTCCTTACTCTTTTTATAGAGCAGAAAATATAACCAGGAAGTTTTATTAGGAGATGGCATTAAAATAGGGAAAAAAAGGAATTTAACAATTATTGTCTCTTCTAATTCAAAATGCCAGCTATAAGAACATACATCTTTCCATATATATAATTTTGAGAGTGGAATAATATGGAGTAAGGGAAGTTTTGTGTTTACATTGTTCATCGGCAAAATATAAAACTTAGTAAAATGTAGAATTAGCAAAATTGCCACATTTCAGGCGGATCACGAGGTCAGGAGATCGAGGAGACCATCCGGGCTAACACGGTGAAACCCCGTCTCTACTAAAAATACAAAAAAATTAGCCAGGTGTAGTGGCAGATGCCTGTAGTCCCAGCTACTCGGGAGGCTGAGGCAAGAGAATCACTTGAACCCGGGAGGCGGAGGTTGCAGTGAGCCAAGATCGCACCACTGCACTCCAGCTTGGGCGACAAAGCGAGACTCTGTCTCAAAAAATAAAAATAAAATTGCCACATTTAAACTTTTTGTGAGTAGTAATAATAGTAGAACTCTAAAAAGGTTTCACATGTGTTTAGCTACTCACTAGTCCATACGCAGAATAGTGGAAGATTTCAGAATTCATCTAGTTTAAGATTTGGTAACAAAAGTCAAGGTAGAACAAAGGTTATTTTTAAAGAAAATACTGTAAGAGCCTAGTCCTCCTACACCTAAGGCTCATCCCCGCATTCCTCTAGCCATATGCATGCTTGCTTTCATTTTTATTGCAGTGTAACATAAGCTATAAAGTTTATGAACTGTGTAACTCTTAGGTATACAGCTTGAATATATTTTATGTACGTATACAGCCATGTAATCACAATCCATATCAACACATAGAAAGTCCAGGTTCCCAGAAAGTGCCTCATGCCCCTTCCCAGTTAATACTTGCCTCAGGAAAAAAAAAAAATTTCATTTAAACATCTACCATTATTTTATGCTATTTATCAAGAATTCGTCCTCTTTTGAAATTCATTTAAATTATTAGTATTTACCCTTTTCTGTCTGGTGTCATTGACTTAGGATAATAAATTTTTGATTTGCAGCTATTATTCATATCAGTAGTTTGATATTTTTAATTGCTATTTATTATTCCATTATATTTCATTTGCCTATTTATGTTCATTTGGTTTATTCTCAATTTGGGGTTATTATTAATAAAATTATAAAAAATACATTGTTTCACTTATTTTTTAATAGGCATACATGCTCATTTTTTTTCTTTGCTCTGTAAGAGTGAGATTTCTTGGTCATAAAATTAGCATGTGTCATAGAATTAGCCTAAGTTAATACCATTAAAATGTTCTGATGTAGTTTGACTACATTCTCATAAGGAATATAAGAAAATTTTAGTTATTTCATATTTTTTTCAAGCCCTGGTATTATCTGTCTTATCTTTTTTAATTTCAACCTTTCTGATAGGTATATACTGATATTTCACTGCAGTTCTAAATTTGTATTCATATGACCAAAGGTGTTATACAATTTTTAATATATCTACTAGCAATTTACATATATATATTATATATAATCTTTCTTCAGGCTATCTTTTGAATAATATGATGTGTTAAATTTAATGATTATATGTATATACATATATAATTATATTAGAGAAGCATATATGCGACTAGAGGAACATCTGATTAACTATCAGAAATGGGAAATTTGATTTTTTCTAGTATTGAGACCTAAGGAAGAAATTGAAGTCATACTTCATAAGCTATTGGAAATAATTTTTATTATAAGAACCCTTTGGAAAACAAAAAATCACACATTCATTTTTCATTAAGAAACATATGCTAAAAGAAATTTTATCAGCAAGAATCTAAGACCTAGTTCTGTAAAATCATTGCCAAAAGGGCTTTAAAAGCTCGGGAAATCTAGGACTTGGAGAAGTAATAACTTATTTACTGTTTAAGACCCTAAGGTGACCCTGTGATTTCTACCTGCTTAGTGTTCACTTTTGTATAACTACCTCCTCTTAAGAGTGGGAGATACTTGTCACTTGCACCTAGTTAAGAGAATATGGCAAAGATGATGAGATATTCCTTCTGTCATTACAGTTAAGTTGTATAAGACTTCATCTTGCTGCCAAGAAACCAAATGAGCTTCAAAGTGGATTAATCCTAAGTCCAGTCTCCAGATGAGAACACAAACTGGCTAATAAACTGATTGCAGCCATCTGAGATCCTACATAGAGGATCCAATTAAGCCATGCCCAGACTCTTGACCCACAGTAATTTTGAAATAAATGTGTGTTGTTTTAGGAAGCTAAGTTTGCAGTAATATGTTAAGTAACAATACAGAGCTAATACTGTAACCATTAAATGCATAATTAACATAAAACAATCTACTCAACTACTTATATTTAATTATCACAACAATCAAATTCCCATTCTATCGAGTAGAATTTTGAAGTTTGAAATGATTACGCAGTTTTCAAAAGTTCAAACAATTTGGCAGTGTTCAAGCCAAATTTAAATTTGGTTCTATCATACTGGAAATCCATTGCATTTCTTTCATACTACACACCCTATGCAACATTCTATTCTATGGAAACAGACCAGGGCAACTCCTCAATAATATCAACGAGCTCAGGCATATTCAAATTATTTTGTCTAAATGTTGTTTATGATGTTGACTGCAGTAGGATGTGAGATCAACGAAAATTGATAGCATAGGCATGATATACTGACAATGAAAGTTGATATGCACAAAAAGTTGATATGGATAGATGTGAGATCTATGAATGTTGGGAAATAAACTGTGGTCAACAAATAGACTCAGTGTAACTTCCCTGTCACAGCTTTGTTCTGTCTGCTCCTATTGATGAAGCTGTTCTGGCAGAAAGTAAGCACCACATAGATAGGGTATGAAAACTTGTGAAATCTTGAAAAAAATTCTGGAAAGGGAACCATCTTGAAAATACAGCTAGCTATGAAGAACTTATTCCTTTAGCACCTTTCTGCACTATGTTTCAATATTTCAGTCAGAATATATATGTATTCTCTTTGAAGAACATTACCTTTTGCTACTGAATAGCTAAGAGAAACCTTGGGTTTTAAATAAGTAGTTTAGGCTCATTATAATAGCATAGATTATAAAAAGCTGATGGTCAAAATGGAATAAATTTCTAATCCTGTAGGAAGGCTAATAAACTTTATTATTTTGACCTAATAATCAAGACATACATACATATTGTAAGATAACTCCAATAATTGCAAAAAAGTTCAAAGGAGAAAATGATTTTTAAATTTACAAATAAAATGTACGTAAGTAGCTCATATTGACATGTAGTAGTTTTAGTAAGGACATTATTTATCTTGGTAATGACAAGGTTTCTATTTTTCTAGGTAGAATAGCTGTGGTTTTTACCATTCAACTTTGAGTCCGTAAAGGAGATAATTAAGGCAAACTAGTTCAATAGGAATACGGGTAAGCCTGAGTAAGAAAGTCCTTGGAATAGAGGAATGGCATAGATTTTGGAAATATTCAAGTGTATTTGTGTAGGGCAAGTAGAGCAGTGCCGGCCTGATTGTTGTGTGGGTGGAGGGATTCCTGGGGGTGTCACACTCTACTACTAAATATTTCAACTTGAAACAAATGACTTTAACAAGGTTACAAAAGAGATATGACAATGTGATTTTCTTGAGACAAGTCCTATGCAGTGTGCGTTGCTCTGTTCCTGCCTTCTTGGTTCAGACCTTGTGTGTATGCAGGTAGCAAGCATAATAGAAGTTACTACATAACAGTAACTCACCATAACTCAGGTCCTGAAAGAAAATATTGAATCTACACCTGTAAGGAAATCTAAGAAGTGGAAAACAGGAGAATTAGAAAACAACTAGATATGGCCACAGTTCCAACCACATTTCCCCAGGGCAATGTCTGTGTAATTTTATATGAATCTACCCCTGATGCTATTGGAATCCAAGAAATACAAATCAGGGGTGGAAGAGAATTTACATTTAAAAGAAGACTAGTAACAAATATTATTTTTAAGTTTGTGTGTATATTTGTCTTTCCTAATTGGTCAATGTTATTTCTGCTCATTTTGTTGCCTGTTTATACAAAGTTTCAGAAATAAAGTTTAAAGGCATATTCTTATTTCTGTGAAATAAGAAAGGATGTAAAGTTGAGAAGTTTTTCTTATCTTATAGTGACTTAGGAGCAGAGACTTATGCAACAGAAGCACTGGTGCTCTACTTTTATACCCCTACTTCTTCACTTCAACACAGTCTCAACTCTTAGTAGCCAATATGAGTATTTCTTTGCCTGGGCTCTATGACCACCTGAGTGAAGTTTGCTTTCTGTACTGTAGGCTAGTGAATTGCCAGATAATTAACTGCCATTCCCAGTCATACCTCATAGGTCTCAACTAGTGATGAACAGTGACTTGTGTATAAACATCACAGCTTTTCCATTCATTGTGCATATATTGTGCTGGATCCTGAAGATCTAGTATGGTTAAGCTTTAGATGACCTCAGAGGTCACTTGACTAACAACATACATATAATTGACTGCCTTTATTTTCCTGTTTTATTTCTTCTTTCCTATTAATGTCTCATAGATTCAATTACAAATAAACTTCTTCCTGTACTTAATTCTAATCAATGCTAAGGTTTTAGCAAGCATCAATTTTGCTAAGGGTTTGCTTTCTAGGAGAACCTAAACTACCACATTTGGTGCCAGAATTGATCCTAAGAAGTAGATACTCAGGATACAATTCCAGAATTGATCACCAGACAGCTAAATGGCAACAACGATCTTAATGCTGGTGGGTTTAGGGAAGCAATCACCCTTCCCATATAATTGAATCACTATTGCTAATACTCTGACCTATGTTAAATTGTTATGGAATCAAGATGGAAGAGGATGCATATGATAATGCAATACCCCTGTTATTCAAGAGTAGGTAGTCAGCAATAATTCAAAAAGCTCTGGAGGTATTTGTGTACTATTAGTGTCATTTATGATGTGAAGGCAAAAAATGCTAGGCTTGGGTTAGACAAAGATTAACACAGAGAATGGGGTAAATATAGTGTTAAATGAGCATTCATCTCTTGCAGTTACCCCTACCTTTACTCGCTGAATCCAAAGAAAAAAACAGGGGTCAAATATCACCATGTCACGTAGAAAGTATTATTTTAGATTTGGTAAGGGAGAAGTTTACAATGTTCTATCAAGGAAGTACAGAACCTTGGAGAATGTGCTTATAATTTTATTTTGAAGATGGTGGAATGGGGATTAGGTGATATAAGGCCAGGAAGAATATGGAGGGAATTCTCTTCTGTGCTTTATGACTGAATTTCCAGGCAAGGCACTTGGAGCTTGTTCTCATGCACTGCGGAGTGTATCTTTGAAGTGTGGATACATGATGGCTTACCATGAATGGGGCAGAAATGCTGTAAATACTTTGTCAGAGTGTGGGAGAAACCATGAAAAAGCTCAGAGAGTTGATTCTGTTGCAATAGATATATTTTATAATATCAGAGAATCTACCAACTTACTAAATTATTCAGGAAGAGCCAAAGGACACACTCTTTACCAAAGCAATAATTAATTTACTAAGTAGAGCAGTCACCAATGTTGTTTGTAAAGATAATGGTTGCTCTCTTCTGCAGGCCAGAGTTCCTCTTAAGGGATGATTCTGTAGCCAGTGGCAATTGTAACATTCCAAAATAGCATAAGACAGGTAACTACTTAACTGAGACAGAGTGACATGATTAGCAAGGTCAACATGGCAGTCAAAAGACCTTAGACCACAGGGTCTGGGGTGTTGTCTAATAAATCTATATTGCACTATGGGTGAGCTAGATGACAGCTAAGAAGGACATTACTTGACTTAAATACATGAAAAACCTCAAAAGTAGGTGAACAGAAGGCCAATGTTATCCATAATAGTAGAAAATCAGAATTTATTTTTCAAATTTTCAGGCTTAAGCTAGTTCTCAGACTTATATGCCAGACATGGAAGGAGAGGCTTAGTCACCTTAAGAAAAGCCCCAGCAATGCCTCAGCAAGTATACATCATAACATATTCACTAATGCTTTCATCAATGAGACCTATGACCATTTTCTGGAATAACTGTCTACTCTAGAAAAAGAAATACACAGCTGTTACAAGGCTTACTGCATGCAGGTTCTGAGCAGACACTGATACCAATAGAAAAACAGTCCCATCATAAACTGTATTAGAGTTAACTTGTGCAAAGACAAAAACTCATATTGCAGTGAGAGTAAGCTGCCCTGACACCCTTCGGTCATTCTTGTGGTCCCCATGTTTGTAATCAGTAAGAGTATAGTTAGCATTTTGCAGAATAATCATACCGGTTCTCAGATCTATGGAATAAAATATACTAAAAAAGAATGGTTAATTGGAAGCTACTGAACTGATCTTGTCTCTAGCCAAGTAAGTAAATTAGAAACCATGTTTCATCCTATGTAGACTGGAAGAGATTAATGCCACACAAAAAGACTTAAAGGAGGCTAAATTAGTGACATCTATCTTATGTCTATTCAATTTATCATCCCAATCCCAGTAAAAGCCAGATGGATCATTTTGCATGGCAGTGAGCCACAGTTAATTATTTGTTAGCCCTAGTCACAACAGCTAGGCTGGACGTAGTATTTTCACTGGAATAGCTCAACACAACTTCTGAGACTTGGCATGTGTTAAACTATTTAGTCAGTATGCCATTTTTAATTCTCATGAGATAGGACAATGCAAATTAACGTTCACTTGGAAAGGTCAGTAACTCATTTCATGGCTTTGCTCCACTCCTTTGCTCAGTATCCCACTCTCTTTCACAAGAGATCATCTGGTCTCCACATAAGTGCACCTGAAAAGTAGAATATGGCACGTACTCCAGATTCTCTGGCAAGGTACATGAATTCTAGTAGTTGGGAGGTAATCCTGCAAAGATTCAGGGTACCACATTAGTAAAGATTCTCAAGTTTCAAGGTCTGAACCATGCTAGAACACCCACTCTGAATGAAGGACAGTTTATTGTACCCTGCATCTTCAATGCACTAAGAGAAAGCTAGAGAACTTAGTAGGCCTTTTTATATGTTGAATATATGTCACATTTGGGAAGGCTCATGTCCCCTACACAGAAAGGTTACAGAGAAGGCTATTAGGTTTGAGAGGTCCAGAGCAAGCAAAGCTTCTTCAGAAAGTTCAGTGCCTTGGGCACCTCCTCTAACACCTGGAATTCAGAGAAGGAATTTTGAGAGAGACACACTTTGGGGCCCATCTAGAACCTCCACTGCCACCACCATGTTTACTCTGTTCTGAGGCTTACTGTGTAAGCATTATGCAACTACCTGGATATTTAATTCCCCTTCTGTGGTAGAAACTGTCTGTGATCATTGACCCAAGACACTAAAATCCACACACTTTCCCCCAACTCCCATGACATCCAAATGATTATTTCTTTTCCAGACTTCTTTGTATACAGTTGTCTAAATTTGATCCTTCAAGTATCTCTCACCAGTCAAACCACTTGCCACTTTCCAGTTTCCTGTAATTAATTAAGACCTTTCTATATCCAATTTCTTTTTGAAATTTACTAGTATCCTCTAGACATAGTCAAACCCAATTCTAAACATGCTTTTTTTTATTAATGTACCCACCTTATGTTATGATAATATGAAGTTTATTGTGTACAATTATAGATATATTTTCTTCCTTGGATAGGTAGCATCCAGCAAGTTTCAAACAGTGAATATTCCTTGTTGTATGTGACCCGGGTTTGTCCCAGAACTCTAGAAGTTAATGTAGCGACTCTGTCAGTATGGTGAGGAGGATTGGGGCAGAGTGGATGGATCTTGCTCTTTTTAATACCTATTTCTAGAATAACACTCTCCTTTTATCTGTTTTTTACTGGATAAAAGGTGCAAAGTGTTCAAAGTAAACAAAATTAAAATATACTGCTTACAAGAAGAAATGCAAGAAAGTATGAAGTTATATATCTGGCTCCTAGGGGTTTGCAATCTACTATTAAAAATAGCACTGAGATATTTACAGCTGTGCAAGAATGTACATTGATAGTACTGCCCAAATTATTCAGAAATAGGAGGGTTTTTTTTCTAACTGAAAGATAACTTTTTAAAAAGTGGAAGATAAATCGAATTTTTAAACTTGAAATCTAACGAATACGAGTTTTGTGAATATGAGAGAAAACATATTCTAGGCAGGGAACATCACCGGATAACATCTTGGGTATAAGAATTAGCTTTCTATTGCTGGGGTGGCAATTCAACAAAAGCTCAGGGGCATAAAACAAACTGAACTAATTATCATACAGTACTGTAGGTTAGCAGTACAACACCAGTCTCATGGGCTGACATCAAGGTGATGGCAGAATATGATATCTTCTGGAGGCTCTAGGGAAGAGTTGATTACCTTGCTCATTCAAGTTATTGGTGTAGTTCAGCTCATTGTCATAAGATTAAGGTCCCCCTTATTTTTGTGTTGGCAATGAGCTGAGATCTGTTCTGTTCCCAGCTTCTAGAGGGAACCATATTCCTTGGTTAAAATGAAAACTTGCATTTTTCTAACTCTCTTCGTTTGCTTCTTCTGCTTCCAAGAAATCATGCGATTAGATTGTTCCCAATCAGACTATTCGTGGTCATCTTATATTACAATTAACTTATTGGCAATGTTGATTGAATCTGCATCATCAATATCCTTATACCATATAATATGATGCATTCCTAGGTTCCAGGGATTATTAAGTGGGAATCTTGGGTTGGGGGCATTATGGCATTATTCTGTCAACCATAGTCCAGATATCTTTTAAAAAAAAGTGCAGTGGTCAGAACACAGAATGAAAATAAAGTAGTGATGTGAGGTTATGTTGGAAAGGTAGTAATGGCTAGTATATGTAGACTGTAGTCTTCTAAGGAATGCTGACTTTATCCTATGTGCAATAAAAACCTATTGAAGGAAAATGAAATTGTTTAAGGGTAAAGAGTGTGTGTGTGTGTGTGTGTGTGTGTGCATGCACGTGCATGTAGGCAGGTGAGCTGGTGACAATATGATTCAATTTGCATTTTAAAAAGTTGGGTACATCTATGTTATGAGGAATAGATTGGAGGGAGCACAGCCTGATGGAGGTAGACTAATTAGGAAGCTACACCTGTAGATTATGAAAGAGATGAGTGTAACTTAGATAAGAGTGGTGGTAGTCAAGATAGTGAGGAGTAATTGAATTCCTTAGGAGGTAAAATTGATAGGAGTTTTTATATTCAAAGTGCTGTGAAGTATATTATGTATAGGAATAAATAGGACAGAATTAAACTATAGGCAGGAGGATTTCTGCTTAGCAGGTTCAAGTGATAGTGAAGGCATGATGAATATATATTTCTCTAAAGCAGGAAGAATGGAATATAAGAGGCTGAAATGAAACATTTCTAACTTGCAAATATTTGAAAATAGAAAATTTCTCCAACTCAGCTTTATAATATTTATGTAAATGGTTACCAGATCCACTGAATCAGACTCTTGAGGAGGAGACCTATGAATTTTGTATTTAATAAGCCCTAGAGAAGAATCTCAGAGAGCCAGATTGCCACTGACCTACAAAGACTTTGAAACACAGCCCTACATAATCATTATTATTCCTTGAAGATAAGAAATACTTAATAATTACTACATTGAAATACATATTATAGAAGAAAATATTTAAAAGATAAAATATAAAAATACAGTGCAAAACACCATTTATACACCTGTACTTAATATTTGGGCCTTTAAATTTTAATATTTATATATATTAAGCCATTTCCTCTGTATTCTGACAGTGCTTATATTTAAAGTAATGAAAAAAGTTTCCTCCAAATTATAATATGGTCTTCCTTTATGGGAAGGCCCCACTCAGAAAACATCTGCATTTATTGCCCTGTGGTGTACTCCCTTGGCATAGTATACAAAATACTATTCACAGAGGAAGTTGTTTCACACCAATTTGAGAACCTGAAGCATAATGAGAAATATAAGTACAATTCAAATGCTTCTTTTTTTCTGCCTGTGAGATTGGGTAGGAAGGAATGCTTAATTTGTACACTTGGGACACATTCTATCAGCAAATAAATCACTTCCTGGAAGGCTGCAACTGTTGACGAGGCACAAGAAATTTTTGAAAAGTAGATTTTACAATTTCTTCTCTTGGGAAGTCTTAAGAATTTTTTTCTTCAGTCACATTCATCTTTCTAACATATAAATACGATTATATTTTCTTGCCTACATCCTATTATTTTCCCGTTGCCTGAAGAGTAGATTCTAAACACACTAATGTGATTCTAAAGCCCCTCATTATCTGGCAGTCCTTTCCTATAGCCTTAGCTTTTAGCATTGATTTTCCTTTCTCCCCCATAAGGTCGAACAGTAGAGAGTTACTAGGCAGTGAAAGACTCAGAAAGAACAGGTATGCAAAGAAAAGCATCTCTTAGATCCAGTTCCTCTGGAGGGACAACTCAATTTCCTAAGTACTCTTCATATTAGATCATTCTGTATCCTTATAATCAAGAACCCATTTTTGATTACATATCTTGAGTGAGTTTACATTTTTTTTCCACCAATGTAAATATAACCATACAAGATGTTCACCTGCCAGAGTCTCAATTATAGCTATCCATAGTCCTGGATTCCATCCAGTTCAGCATCTCGTAGGTTTCCATTTTTCAACAATGCATCATGGTTAGGTAAATGTTATTATTACAAAATGTATGAAAGTAACTGAGATTTGTTCCACAAGCCTTCACTTTTTACCTAAACTTCTGCTATTTTCTAAGCAAGCATGCTCAGTGAAGATGGTTGTCATTTACTACCGTTGTAGACACAGCATTGATAACTCCTTCCTTGCAAAGTACATCTTGCAAAATGAGTTCAGAAGCACAACTGGAGAGGCATCCAGTGCTTCTCTGACTGTGCTGGGCATTTGCTGAAAAATTGGCAGTACTCTCATAGGTAATCCTGCAGTGTTCAAAATGTCCTAATATTTTAGGTCTCTTGTAGGTCAGGTCAAGGATAAATGTGGGGAATTGTACATTAGGTGTACATGAAATGTGCTCAGAAATAGGCTGCACAGCTCAGAAAAGTGAACAGAAATAGGCTGTCATAGAGCTTATAGAAAACAGTTGAACATTCTTGCTGCGGTGTTTTGGCTTTAGTTTTTAGAAACAAATTTTTATTCTATAGTACATCCTTTTGAAATAATAAGTTTAAAATGAAACTTTAGGTACTGCAATTTAAATACTAAAAAATGTGGTGATTAAAGTATAATTTGAATAAAATTTTCATTGACATTTAAATCCTCATTGGGGCTTTTGTGATTATAGTGCACAGAAACCAAGAAAATCCAGAGGATAAATCCACTGAAGAAGCACCAATATCCACATCAAAGGTCAAATATTTAGAACACTGTGCTTGTAAGCAGTGGAAACACATTGAGCTACAAAACATTAGTTTACCTATTACTGTAAGAAGTCTAACTTTCCATTGACATAAAAATAAAAATTGACCATTCTTGTGCTGAAATGTAAGTGAAATGATATCTTTAATGTTTTAGCACCATTAGCAGAAGAACAATGCCAATGTTGAAATTATATTTATCATCAGTAGCAATAGATGTTTCTAGTAAAAAATCAGGTTATCTATCATTCCTCGCGCTGGACAAACAGACTCAGATAAATCCAACTGTAGAGTCAACAGGAAACAAGATTTCTCCATGGAATATTCTGCAGCTGTAAAGTGTCCCAACAACTCTTTTCTTTGAGTGATTACCATTTTATTACTCAAGAATGATTTCATATTCTAAAATAGGCCATAAAATTTTTTTTGAAATTATATTAGTAAATAAAACATCTTACTCTCTTCTAGAAGATTTAAGTCACCTTGACATAGCAAAGCAGTCTAATTTCCAACACAGATACAGAACATCAAACAAGTGGCTTCCTGATGTAATATTCCACATTTAGCTTAACTTTGTAATTCCCGAGGAAGAAAGACCCTGTGTCAGCTTGGTTATTTGGAACTGATATTGACTCCTTTATATACAGCCCTGCTTTGCTTTGTGTCTGTTAAAAATTTTCTTGGCATAAATTTTACCTAAACTCAATCCTTGTCCATGACTCTATTAAAATGTCATATACCTTTTTTGGTTCTAATGTTTGTTGACTAATTTTTGTCTTCTGCCAGGTCAAACCCATTATTGAGCCTAGTAAATTGTTTATTCAATTCAGTTGTACTTTTCAACTCCAGAATTTCTATTTGGTTCTTATTATGATTTCTATATATTTATTTATATTGTTTATTTATTGAGACATTGCCATCATGACTTCCTTTATGTTCTTAAGGATGTGATTTAGTTCTTTGAAAATATTTATGATTACTACTTTGAAAGTTTTTTGTCTGCTAAATCCAACATCTGGTCCCTCTCACAGTTTCTATTGCCTGCTTTGTTTATTTCCTTTCTTTCATATGGTTTCTACTTTCTTGTCTCTTGCATAAATCATCATTTTTTGTTGTTGAAATTTAGATATTTTCCGTAATATATTGTAGCAACACTCTATACTCTTTTCACCCTTCCCCACAGCTTGTTACTGTTGTTCACTTGTGTATTTGTTTAGTGACTGACAGAACTATTTTAATGATGGTACAACCTTGGGTGTGTACACTGTCACCTTGAGATAACAGTGGTTTGACAGGGTTCTCTTTGTCTCTTTCCTAATTACATAGAGCTATTAAGCTCCATTAATTACATGCTGATTGCTCTATTGTTTTCAACAATGATCTGGCACATAAATAACTTCACAGATTGATCCATTTTTATTCTGGCTCCTGTAACTAGAGAGTGTTTGCAATTTTCCTTTATAATTAAGTGATTTCTCTGGAAGTATATTTTGTTTCTTCCTTTTGGTTTTTAGGGTATTTGTTACAGATTTTGCTTCATGATTACCATGATGCTCACAGAAAACATAGTAATATGAAGTTTTTTAAGTGCTTAACAACCTAACTTTCATAGAAAAAAAAAAAAAACTCTGTTTTCACTTGGCCCTCAATTTTGACGTCACAATTTACTCCTTTTAATATTGCATAGCGTTTAACAAATTATTGTACTTATTATTATCTTTAATAGATTTGTCTTTTAACCTTCATCCTAAAATTGTAAGTGATTTACACACCACCATTACAGTATTAGAGAATTCTGAATTTGAATGTGTCCTTACCTTTTCCAGTGACTTTTATATTTTTACATGTTTTTGTGTTGTAAAAACAACATGAAACTCATTAGCCTTCTTTTAGGCTAACTCATTAGGCTAAACTCATTAGCCTTCTTTTCTTTTAGCTTGAAGTACTACCTTTAGCATATTTTATAAGACAGTTCTGATGGTGATGAAAATCTCCATCTTTTGTTTCTCCTGGAAAGTCTTTATTTTTCCTTCACTTCTGCAGGACAGCTTTGCTCAGTACCATATTCTTCACTGGCATAGATTTTATTTTTTTTCCTTCAGCACCATGAATAAATCATCCTACTATCTTATCTCCTGGCATGTAAAGTTTCTACTGAGAAGTCTGCTACAGGCACATTTGAACTCCATTTATTTGCGTATTTTATCTTGTCGCTTTGAAGATTCACTCTTTTTCTTTCAGCTTTGACAATTCGATTATAATATGTCTTGGAGTAGTCTTATTTGGATTGTATCTCATTGGAAACCTTTGACCTTCCTGTACCTGGATATTTATATCTTGTTCCTAGTTTGATTTTTTTGTGCTATTATTCTTTGAAATAAGTTTTCTATCCCTTTATCTTTCTCCATTCACTCTTGCACACCAATCACTCATACATTTTCTCCTTTAATACTATCTCATAAATCCCATAAGCTTTCTTCATTTTTTCATTTTATTATCCCCTGGCTGTATGTTTTCAAATAACCTGTCTTTGAGCTTATAGAATTTTTTCCTCTTGATCAATTCTGCTGTTAATACTATTACATTTTTCACTTTGTTCATTTATTTTTTCAACTCCAGGATTTCTATTCGATTTCTTTTAATTATTATTTTAGTCTCTCTTAAATTTCTTATTCTCATCACTTGTTTTACCTATGTTTTCTAATTGTTTATATGTTCTCACAGATTTTTTAGCTTTCTTAAGACAGATACTTTGAATACTTTGTCACACAGTTTATAAATTTCCATATCTTTAAGGTTGGTGACTGGTACCTTATTTTGTCCATTTGATGATGTCATGTCTTCTTGATTGTTCTAAATCCTTGTCACGTGTTTATCCTTGCACATTGAAGAAGTAGGTACTTGCTCCATTCTTTGCACTCTAGGTTTGTTGAGGAACATCCTTCAATAGTAAGCCCATTCTGAGATTCTGAGTAGGTCATCTAGTGTTGTCCCTAAGCCCTGACCACTGCATTTCTTGTAGTGCTAGCTAGTGGAAGCCCTAAACCCAAGACCATCATAACTGGAACAATGCTGGACTGAACAATATTTTGGCTGCTAAGACAGGCACAGCACTGGCGTATACTCAAAACTCATGGCTGCTGAGGCCAGCCTGTTGCTGTGAGTTATTTGAAGCCCAAGGCCACTATAGTCAGCCAGTAGTGATGCAAGCTATAACTAACGTTTTTCTCACAGGAGTTATATATTCTTGTCTGGTGTCAGAATGGGTTTAGATGCTCAGTCTGTGGTTAATACCTTGGAGTCAAGAGTCATGGGGTAATGCCTAGTGCTAGGTTTTACTATCAAGGGCCCAATATGGGATTTTTCAGATAAAATTCTATGCCTACTTTGCTCTTTCTCTCTCAAGTGGATGGTATCTCTTTCTGCACTGTGCTGTCTGGGGTTGGGAGAGGGTCTGTGTGGTAATGTAAAACTGTCCTTCCTGCCCTCTTCAATGTGTCTTTTATCATTGTGCTATAATCAGGTGCTGTGATCTCTCACCTGGTTCTCTTAGCTATTGTGAAGATATTTGGGGACACGGAGAGTTTCTCAAATTACATTTCTGTGGAGGGACAATCACTGGAGGGGGCCTGTTCTGTCATCCTGCTTTGGCCTCTTTTCTCCCACAGACTGGTTCAAATTCAGGAGAGCTTTAGAGTTCTCTGTTTATATGGCCTGCATCTCCACTTAGACAAAGTCTCTGAGCTATGGACCTGGAACTGATGCCAGGAATAGTGACCTGTTTCTTTGAGTCCACTGCTACTTTGGAAGAGCTCTGGTTAGGAATGGCAACCTCTGGGCATTTTTATTTGCCTTTATCTTTATGTAAAGAAGAATGGAAGCTCTACTCTATGAATGAGCTAGGTGGGAGCAGTTGGGCACAAATATTATCAGCACGCTTCTGTGGCAAAGACCTCATTTATGAGTGAGATCTAGTGGAAGAAGGGAGCCTCCAACCTCTTGGCCAAACTCTCCTGGAATTGCCTCTGTATCAGGTAGCTGGGGTAGGAAGGGAATGAGAATACTGATGTCCCACCCTTACCAGGAATATACCATAGCCTTCAGATGTAAGGTGAGAGAAGAAATCCCATATTCTGGATGTACTTATTAAGAGTTAAAATCCATTATACTGGGGTTGAGGGGCTATAGGAGAAAAGGAGTAGGTTCCAGTTCAAATGCCACAGATTCTCAGTGCACCTAGTGAATATTAGTAGATTTTCTTGAATAATTTTTTTTTATTTGTAATTTGCCCTTAAGACCATTTCAAGAGACTTCAAATATTCTTTTATTTTTATTTTTCACAATTTATGTCTGTTTCACTAGGGAGCATGTCTGTCTGCAGAACTCCTCCCATTGCCATTC
The DNA here is from genome assembly GCF_000001405.40 of Homo sapiens. NCBI lineage: Eukaryota > Metazoa > Chordata > Mammalia > Primates > Hominidae > Homo > Homo sapiens. The sequence goes on along the minus strand of NC_000010.11, from coordinate 55,703,572 downwards.
TTGAAGTGACAATCAGAACTCTTATTTTTAATCAGATAGGTTATATTCTATTCTTTAATAGAAAACAGAAGACCAGTGATTTCATCCCATAATAATTTTGCTAAAATTCACTAAATGAGAAATGAAATTACTAATTTTATTAGTTTTTTTTCTTTTGTTAAAAAAATTCTCAATTCAGTCTAAGGAATAGTGTCTATTTAAATATTTCAGATAAAATATTTATGCATTCTATTTGTAAAATTGATAATGCCTATTTGTTAGCAGATTTGATCTAATCTTCCTAGTTACCTTGGCTCCTAAAGAAGGAGTATTTGCTCAAAAAATATATTATGATCAATTGAGAAGTGTTGATTAGAAAGACAACAATTTCAAATATGTTGACCACAAAATGCAAATTTAAAGAAGTGTTTTAATTGTGTGAAAAAATTAAAACTGATAACAATATACTAGAAAAATTACTTATTCAGATAAACATCAACAGTTCACTTTTGAGAGACAATATGGGACTATATACAAAGAATGACTATTGGCTTTTTGATGTTTAGATATTCAAAATGACAATATTATATTTTTTGTAAAGTATAGATATATTATTTAAATATTTATATTTATAAAAATAATTTTTGAATATTATTTAATTATTCTAACAATATAATAAATCTGTATTAAAATTATATAAGTATTTTAAAGCAATAGTTATTTTAATTATTTTTAGGGCACTACTACTTTATATTTGAGTTGACTTTGCTTGGGTAAAAAGTTACTTTATCTCCCTAATGAAAGGCATCCATGTTAAGACATAAATCAAAAATTTAGACTTAAAAAAAATTAAGCAATAGCAACTACTACAAATGTGATTTATCTTAACCAGTGGTATCCAGAAATTCAAACAAATTACAGGAAAAATTTACGAAATTTTTCATTGTACTATTACTTTTTGTGAATTATAAAAAGTAGACTGTGGATTAGAATTGGTTGGTTAAACCCATAGCAGTGTAGAGCAAAGATGAAATCTGAATTATAGATAAACATTTTGCCTTTATAATTTAGGTAGTCAAAAGGAGGCCAAATTTAACCAAAATGTAGTAATTAAAAGATCACTGAATATGCCTTAAAATGTCTTTTAAATTAAATTTTCCTAAAGGTTTAAAATATATGTATATATAAAAGAGACTATTTTAATGAATCTTAATACCCACATCATCAAGATTGAATGATGTTTAACATGCACCATGTTTAATTTGTTTATTTTTGATTTACCAAAGTATTTGAATCAAGAACTGTCATCATGGATCGTCAGTATGCAGCTTTTTAAAGAAAGAATTTTTTTTCAATAATGGAAATTTGAAAGTTTCTTAATTTTATCTAATGCTCAACTCACTTTCACATTGACAGGTAAAACAAAATAGTATTTTTATCATTTGTTTAATTGAAACAATAAGACAAGTTCCGGGGTACATGTGCAGAATGTGCAGGTTTGTTACATAGGTATACACCTGCCATGGTGGTTTGCTGCATCCATCAACCCGTGATCTACATTAGGTATTTCTCCTAATGCTATTCCTCTCCTAGCCCCCCAACCCTGATAGATAAGATTTTTTAAGAATAGATTTACCGGTTATAAATCTTTTCTAATCCAACTTCATTGCCTTATCAGAGGAATAAGATCAGGTTTCCTTCATAATGTTCAGAACTCTACAAATACTATTGCTTCCTTATGGATATGTTAATCTTTTTTTTTTTAAATATTTATTCTGTTTCCTGTGAACTGAAAACTAGAGGCAAAGGCCTCAGTATTTTTTTTCAGCCTTATTGCAAGACCATAGTATGATGCTTCTATTTCATTTTACATTATATCATGAAGCACTAAAAGTCCACTCTTAGTGATGGGTCACCAGGTTCAAGTTGTGACAGCTTGAACCCACAAGTGCACATTTTTTGTTTTCCCTTTATAATGAACAAATAATTACCATGGTAATGCATTAATGTCTTGTGAATATCCAGTCACCAAACAAGTTTTCAAGTAATGGTTTTAATATCTGTTTGATAATTGTTGACTGCATCAATTATATCTTGAGGGGTATTTAAAAAGCAATTTTATGATATATTTTCCTACTTTTACAAAACTCAGAATTTTTACAGAAAACTGAATCAGAAAAATTCCTGTTCTTTAATTTATCAATTTTCAAAGTAGGTATTTGGTACACTAGCTATTTTAAATAGTGTCAAATTATTATTTTTTAAACTTATTTTGAACTATTGGACTTTTAGATAATTTATGTGTCTCAATCAACTGCAGTAGTCATTAGGAGATTAAACAATTTTTGTTTTTATTTTTGTTACTCTAATGATCATGTATTTGCCCTATAAGATTCTCGTCAGACCTGCCACCCTATCATTTTGGTTATGACTCATCAGTCTTTGATATGGTGCTTTTTGGTCAAAAATTTACGTTCTAGTTCCAATTTTGTGTGTTTCTTTCCTGCCTCAGACTTAAATTTAACATTTTTTCCCAAAGAATATTAATTTCTTATATTTGAGAATGGAATTGAGAGACAAAAATATATCTGGTAATAATGCACATCATTACTGGAAGTTGCTTCCTGGTAATCATTTTAGTATCCAAAATTATGAAATACATATCTAAAAACTAAAGTAACTATAAAGATTTCCTACCACTATTCCTAATTTCCATTTAACATAACAGAGTTGTACTCATTTCTTTATAAAAATTTTACTTCTATATTTTTTCTTTCAACAAAGAATTTATTCTAAATATCATTTCACAGTATTTATTTTAACACTTTTCTTACAAAATAAATACAATTGATAGTTATTTTTTAATCTGAAACTTTAAAATGTCTGTACACCAGAAAAAAGTGAAAATTCTACAGGGTGAAGAACTCAAGGTAGGGACTATTTCTAGGGTTCAAAATTGAAGTTTAGTGGGTAAAAATCATGGCACCAACAATCCCAACACAGAAATAAGTTTAATTAAAATCACAATTTTGTTTTTCTTATGAGCAGTTGTTATCAATTTTATGAGTAATATAGACGGTGAGTAACTTGTATAGAATAAACATTTTGTTGCCCTGCACACAATTTCTTTATTAGTAGTTCTGCAATGCTTTCCAGGAAATCAAAATTATAAGATGCTTCCCTGGTAATTTTAAGGTACACCATATACCAGTCCATGACTTGACTGATGGTTCTCTGAAAGCCTTTCGACGCTTCTTCCTACAAAAAATGTAGTTATTCAATGGAACTAGTGACAGGTGATTCTTATATTAGCCCCAAATCACAGGAGTTTGGAGAGTTGCAGGTATACTTGAGTCAAGACTAGAAGTATTAGGGCTGGGTGCAGTGGCTCACCCCTGTAATTCCAGCACTTTGGGAGGCCGAGGCGGGCAGATCACGTGAGGTTAGGAGTTCGAGACCAGCCTGGCCAACATTGAGAAACCCCGTCTCTACTAAAAGTACAAAAATTAGCCAGGTATGGTGGTGGGTGCCTGTAATCCCAGCCACTCGAGAGGCTTAGGCAGGAGAATTGCTTTCGCTTGAACGCAGGAGGCAGAGGTGTCAGTGAGCCAAGACTGCACCATTGCACTCCAGCCTGGGCAACAGAGCAAGACTCCATCTCAAAAAAAAAAAAAAAAAAAAAATTTAGAATAGCAGCAGTAAAAAGAAAGTCAGAAACAGAGAAAGGTTCTTATACTGAACTCTTCAATGAAACATAGCATTCTAGTTCTACAGAACATTACACATTTTCACTAGGCTGCATTTTTTTTCACTTTCGTTAAGTAATTCAGCCTTTGTTGTAGCACACTAACCTGCTCTTGAGAACACTGCCAACATTAAAGTATAACTTACGTTCCTTGAAAAATAGTTTGTACACCTCTGTGTTAGTTTTTTGAATTCTTATAGAGGAATACTTAAATCTGGGTAATTTATAAAGAAAATCGGTTTATTTTGGCTCACAGTTCCGCAGGTGGTATGAGAAGCATGCTGCTAGCATCTGCTTCTGGTGAGGGCCTCAGGAGGTTTATAATCATGGCAGAAGGTAAAGGGGGGCCAGTGTGTCACATGGCAAGAGGGGGAGCAAGAAAAAGCTGAGGAGGTTCCAGGCTCTTTTAAACAACCAGCTGTTTTGTGAACTAAGTGTGACAATTCACTCATTACTGCAAGGATAGCACAAAGCCATTCATGAGAGGTCTTCCTCCATGACCCAAACACCTTCCACTAGGCCCTTCTCCAACATTGGAGGTCACATTTCAACATCCAAAACAGATGACTCTCCAAATGAGTAAAGTAAAACTCTATCACCTTGTGGCAGTGGAAATCAAAATTCATTTGCAGAAGATTTGCGGTTGTTTAATTACAAGGATAACGAAATGATAGAGAGTGACAGCTAGTATCCTAGAGTTTGGGAATCCAGTTGCAAATTCAAATCCGTCCAGAATCATTGCTGTTTGGGCCTACCTGCTAGCGTATGTACACTCCCCTAAAATATCATTAGAGACAATTCTAAGTTTTAAGCCTGGCTGGGACTTCTAAGACAATCATAAAGATTCTAAGAATCTCCAAATTGGTTGGTTCCCACTTTATACACCTGCTCCAAAGAGACTGGGCCTTAAGAATAATATAATTTGAAGGTTTAATTTCATTTCTGTCTTCATTGCCCCCTCCAACACACCCTGCCCCACCTAATAGAATAAACCTTTATTTGACAACACCAGCTGGGCAGAGGCTGTGAGCTAATCACAACTTCTGTATGGGCATAAAAGATATGAAAGTTATATTATTGTAATGTCTGACCTGTTGAAAATAACAGGATTAGGAAACTGGAAAGATCTTAGTTTTAATACCAGTCATATTTTAAAACTAATTCCTCAAAATTAAACAATTTTGCTGAGCTATAAAAAACTTTGGAACTCATTCACTCCAACCTCTTACTTACAGATTAAATGTGTATATTGTGTCAATTCCTAAAGCGACTGAGTTGCCCCAAGCTAATTAATAACAGGTAGACCTGGAACCCAAATATTTTTACTTGTAATTTAGTGCAAACACCAGGGAACTGCAGTTTACTACAGCTGCTTTCTAATGCCAGTCAATAGGTCAGCTCATTTTGTAAGAATAAATTACTGTCTCCCTAACATTGACTATGTTCTTTCTTACTGGTTTAGGTAGGCTTTTCTCATTCTAGGTTTTGCATTGCTACTTTGGCTTATTAAAAGTTAAAAACAAAAAACAACAATAAATACTATGATAAATCACATAACAGAATTTCATATATTTCAGATATAATGAATACTATTTTTCTCCCTTCCTCTGCAAAGACCTTATCTTCTCTAAGCAGCAAGGGTGAAAAGGAGAGAAATGATGAGGAAGTAACTGTGATCAAATGTTACTTTCTTAGTTTAGTGCAGACTCCTTTTATTAATTTTAATTTCATTCTTGTTTTATGATACTGCAAAGTGATTAATTTCTTTTCATCTTATGTTATTTTCACTTTTTACTTAAAATTTTAAACTCAATTTCTTACATAAAATTTCCAGGTGGATCAAGACACCAAACAGAGGTAATGGCACTTTACTGACAATCAAGCAATCTAGTGGGGCACCGAACACATTAAAGGGAGTGAAGACTAGAACAATCAAAAGAATTGGTACCAAGAAGCCAGATTCACAGGGTATTGTGCATCATGCTAGCAACACACTTAAGGTCTAAGGTTAAAAATAAGATTATCTGGTAGCAAGTAAGGAAGGCAAGAGGGATGTCTGCAGGAGACAGGGCATGTATAAATGCTTATATTTAAAGCCCCTAGTTTTGAAGACAATATAATACAAAGATGGTTTCCTGAAATGAGGCAATTCACTGGAAATGCAACACAAAATGGCTTTAGGTCTCCTATACTTTCTTAGTGTTGAAAAATTTTTTTAATGTTATTTTGTCTAATTTTCCTTTCACCTCATCTTAATTAAAACTAATCTTTAAATAATCTCCAGAATAATAAATATATAAACTCTTATCATCCTCTTCAGTCAAGCAGAAAATTTTATTTTTGCTTGACTCTTATTTTCTGTTTGCTGAGTGACTTACTTTATATTTAAAATCATGCAAAAGTATGCAGACTTGCCATCAACAAGCCCACTGTCTCTAAATGTCAAACTGACCTCAGTTATTGAAATCTGAAAGCTGGTTTTATATTGCCCTTTTTGAGCAATTTATGATTGCCATATATTATACTACCAAAAATGTAGAGGCTTCAAACCAGTCTGTCCATTACTGTCCAAATCACTGCACAGTAAAAGGAAGCAGTGACTACAGCCATCATCCATGCAGTGTCGACAAATTTCTTACAGATAAAATTTCTGAAATGTGGACAGCCTTAAATTACTCAGTTGACAGAATTTTGTCAAGAATTGTTTCGTAGTTTTTGGCAACCTTGTAGCCTAAACAGATGCCTATCAACATGCCTGTATCCATTTTATGCCTGATCTGTGAGAGGAGAGAGAAGGAAAAATATACTCTCCTATGCACATTTATCATGGCTTGAAAAGAGAGCCTCAGTCTATTTCACACTTATTGCCACAAGTAATTTAAGTTTGAAATCTTGAATCTTTCTTTCAGTTTTGGCCAGTAACTTACAAGCCAAGTAATGCCCTGTCCTTACCAATACTCAAACATCAGTATTGGAAAGATGGATTCGTTTCTTAAAGCATCAAAATTAAATTAATTAATTAAATGATAATTCCTCACAGTGTATATAGTTCATAGTTTTTAAAATGCTTTCACATATTCTATTCCTTTAAATTTTATGATAACCCTCTATGGTAGAACGCATGAGCACAATTGTTTGCAGCATGTGAATATGAGTGTAACCTGTTTTTACATCAGAATGTCAGTATGTCTGGATGTGTCTGGTACACTGATGAAACAGACACTAGAAGTCTATTTATATTAAGGGACAAAGAAGCTCCTGGGGAAAAAATATTTAGAAGGAAAATAAGCAAAAGCTGCCAAGGTTATTTTAAGGACAATGGATCAGGATTAAAGGAGTAGAATATTTAAATGCATAGTATTGCACTTATATCTGAAATTGATTACAGTACGAATTTATAAAAATATGTCCAGGTCAGAGGGAAAAAAAGTTACAATTAAACTTAGTCTTTATTGTAAGTCTCTGTGAGATGCAGAGATCACAGAATATTAGAAGCATTGTCAGTTTCACTGACAAAGTCAGCTATCTGAATTGAAATTATTATGAGAAAATTAATCCTCTCCACTTACAGCATTACCTAAATATATTTCTGAAATTATTCCAAATCTTACAGTGTATTAATAACTTAACAGAAGCTCCATTTTAATTGTTTCTTCACATTTTATTCTACCATTCCTTTATCTCAGTGTACTCTTAGGTTGATTCCTGTCATTTAAAAGCTATCATAGCACCATTGTCAGTAAGAGGAGTATATTTAACAACAGCGTCTACTTTGCTGAACAGCCATTTTATTCACAGGCCTAACTGAAAGATAATCATCATTAGTGTGTTAATTTTAATTCAGAAGCCCCAAAACTCCTGTCGACGACTTATACTGTATTAGCAATCACAAATTGTTTACAAGTTGTGGCAAAAAGACTAGGCTTATTATGAACTAGCTCTTAAAGAAATCTTTAAAAATCACTAGAGAGGCCGGGCGCGGTGGCTCACGCCTGTAATCCCAGCACTTTGGGAGGCCGAGGCGGGTGGATCATGAGGTCAGGAGATCGAGACCATCCTGGCTAACAAGGTGAAACCCCGTCTCTACTAAAAATACAAAAAATTAGCCGGGCGCGGTGGCGGGCGCCTGTAGTCCCAGCTACTCGGGAGGCTGAGGCAGGAGAATGGCGTGAACCCGGGAAGCGGAGCTTGCAGTGAGCCGAGATTGCACCACTGCAGTCCGCAGTCCGGCCTGGGCGACAGAGCGAGACTCCGTCTCAAAAAAAAAAAAAAAAAAAAAAAAAAAAAAAAAAAAAAAAAAAAAAAATCACTAGAGAACCACCGAGCATGGTGGCTCACACCTGTAATCCCAGCACTTTGGGAAGCCGAGGTGGGCAGATCACTTGAGGTCAGGAGTTCGAGAACAGCCTGGCCAACATGGTGAAACCCCATCTCTACTAAAACTACAAAATTTAGCTGGGTGTTCTGATGGGCGCCTATAATCCCTGCTACTCAGAAGGCTGAGGCAGGAGAATCCCTTGAACCTGGAAGGCAGAGGTTGTAGTGAGTGGAGATAGCACCACTGTACTCCAGCCTGGGCAACGGAGCAAGACTCCGCCTCAAAAAAAAAAAGTCACTAGAAAACATCCTTCAGTAAAAGTAGACACAAAAACTCTTAATAGAAGGAATAGGATAATAGGATAAATAACGACACACACGTGACCAGGAAAAGAAAATTATTATTTAGCAATAACAATTTGTTTTAAAAGGTTTGCTTTTAAATCATCCTTTCTTTTTCTAAATCTTACATATTTGTGTGTTTTTTTTCCTTTACTCACTGCAATAACTTATTTAACATGATGTGAACATAGTCACACCACTAAATGGCAGAACCTGGACTCATCATAGGTAGCATGGTTTCAAACACTGTGCTCCTAACCGCTAGAGTAATCTCAGACACAATTTTAACATTCATTGATATATTTTTTAGACAGCATGCCTCTTCTAAATTTAGTTAATTTTGGTTGCTTTACAACCGTTGATTATTAAAACATGTGTACACATTTTTGAAAACATAATACTCTAATATCAAATACAAAAAGCCTTATAGTAAAAAGTACCAATCCTTTGCCCACTCTACCTGATTCCCAGTTCCACTCCCCAGAATACTGCATTTAGTTCTTTAAGTGTATATTCTTGTTTATGCTTCTGTAATTTTTTGGGTTTTTTTTTTGGTTGTTATTTGAATGTTACATACTATGCAGTGGACAAATTATTTCGATGTAGATTTAGTTAAGTGACATATATTTTCCTTGACTTCCCTTCCTTTCCTCCTAAAATATTATTTTTAGTTCCTCCCATTGATAAGTAATATTCCTGAAACATTTATTTTATTCTAATAATTATAAAATAAGTGTCTTTATCATTTTCATTAATAATTATTTTAGCTCTCATGCAATACTTCTTCCCCAAATCTAACATAGTTATATTTTCTAATTTTGTATATAATTGAGCTGTCAAAATTGAAAATCAATAACTTTTTATATTATTGTGATCAGAGTTTTATTGTAATGTGAAATGATACCTGATAATATATACTACTCTTGTTTAATTTTGTTGATCCTTAAATTTGAACATACATTTCTCTTTTTGTGCTATTTTCCTTTGACATATCCTTAAATTTAACAAATCTGTGTCACACGATATTCTCTGCACAGATCCTTCTCTCCACCACCTCTCACGTTCATTTCTGGTCTAGATTTGTTACTTTCTGAGGCTTTCCACAGGTTTATCCATTCATGATTCATCATTTTTTCCACAACTCTCTTCAGTTGTATTCATTGTACCTTATGTCTTCTTTCTAAATGTAATCCTTTGTGTTTCTTGAATTCATCACCAAGTAATTTGCTTAGAGTTTGTGGATAAAACATTTCTTCTATAAATACCTTAAAAAATCTTTATTTTGCCTTCACATTTGATTGATAGTTTGGCTGTTTACAAAAATATAGTTTCAAAATAATTTTCCTTTAGAAATGTAAAAGCAGAGCAACATTTCTGCGAGGAGCTTGGCAAAATCTTTCTCCAAACTGCAATGATAAAACTTTATAAACATGACAAAAATGATAAATTTCTGGAAATTGACTCAATGCATATGTTTATTTTTAAAAAAATGCATTAGTGGATCATTGGAAGGGATAGTCAATAAACCCACTTCTACTTCTTCATTTTCTCATCTATGCATTCTACCGTTTTGAGTCACGACAGGTCATGATAGTCATTTATATCGGTTTTATAATCTTTACAAGGCATTGCCTCCAAGTCATTATGTCAACTGCATCTTAGAAGGACATAACTATCAACCTGGAATGAACATTCTGTTGAATCCCCAGATACACGTATTAGCTGAAGCCTTGTATGAAGGAAAGACAAAACCATACCCTGAATTTGTGCAGATTTTGGGGCAACATGAATTGCTGCTCCTTTCAGTGTGAAACAGGTTCAATGTAATCAATTTGCCTCTAAGTAACTGATTGATTTTCTAAAGTAATGGACATCAGCAGCAGTTTTTTCCATCCCTTGGTTAAGGGAAACCCATAATGTTGGGCCCATACATAGCCTTGATGTGTACTGCCACAATTACTACTTATGCATTCAGTACTGCAGTAAGGTATGACAGTTTAAACTTACGAGACAACTCATTCTGATCATTTAGTACCTCTTCCTGGTGATTGCTTTCTGGAAAGTGTCAATAAGCAAAGATCTTTACGTTTTCTTCCCCACTTAATATGTCTATCCATGCCATGTGCTATTTTCCCATTCCTCCTCCTCCTAATTTTTCTCTCTCTCCCATTTCAGAACTCTAGCCAAACAAACAAGTCAGTCACCATTACCCTGTGTTCATATATTGTTCTAATCACTGACAATTTCCCTTTCCAAACAAGGTGGATATTCAACAAGGGCATTGCCTGCAACTCTGCCTTTTGGTAACATTTCCCTTCCACCCTTCTTCAGAGCCACCTAATAGTACAATTATCATGTAGCAGCAGGATCCTTTGGCACTAGTGGATGCTGCAGTGTGCCACTCAGGCTTCTCTTCATGTGTGAAGTACTCCTTTCTCTGCCACAAGTGTTCACTACTGTTCATTGCCCAGAACAGCCTGGTACATTCACCCTCAACGGACAAGCCATGCCTGATCAAATAACCAAACAGCCCCTACCCACATTTGACCTGTGAATCAGCCCAGCATGGAGGCTGTGTCTAAGAAACTACAAGCTGCTGCAGCTTAGGCAATTGAGGCACTCACAAGCATGATGACTATAGCTGAATAAACTGCATGGATACTACAACACTGTGCCCACCTGGAACCTAGGCAATCCACCCTGCCTAAATGACACCCTAAGACACATCTGCAAGTGAAAATTTTTCCCTGTGAAAGATACTCTAAAATATAAGAAAAGGTGACTGTTCCACTAGATGTACAGACATCAACAGAGACACAAGAAAAATTAAAAACAGGGATGCAGAATAGCACCAAATAAATATAATAAATTTGCAGTAACTAACCCCAGAGAACAGAAAAATTTTTAACTGCCTGAAAAGGAATTCATTATAACATTTTTTTTAATTCAGCAAGATAAAGGAAGCACAGATATAAAATTTGAAAAAAATGAGAAATACAATTCTGTATGACAAATTCCAAAGAGTGAAATATCATTAAAAAAATTTGGAGTTAAAAGCCCCAGTGAGTGAAATGAAAAGTGCAACTGAGACTTTCAACAGCAGACTATATCAAGGAGAAGAAAGAAGTTTCAGAACTTGATGACAAATATTTTGGAATAATTCTGTCAAGAAAAAAGAAGAAGAAAAAATAATCAAAGAAAACCTACAAGATATATGGGACACCATTCTGTGAGCATGTTTTTTGCATTATGGAAGTTATAAAGAGAGAACAGGTGGAAGAAGGCACAGAAATCTTATTTAAAAAAATAATAGATGAAAACTTCCCAAGCCTTGAGAAACATATGGACATCAAAATCCATGAAACTCAAAAGAATCCCAAACAAAAGAGGTTCTTTCTAAAGCACATTATAATCATACTACCAAACTGAAAGACAAAGAGAATCCTAAGAGCAGCAAGATAAAAGCATCAAGTCTAATATGAGGAAATCCCATTAGATTATCAGCAGATTTCTTAACAGAAAACTTGCAGGCCAAAAGAATGGGATTATACATTCAAAGTGCTGAAAGAAAAAAAAATCCTGCCATTCAGCACAGTTATTTTTCAGAAATGAAGAAATAAAGTCTTTTCTAAACAAATGAAGGCTGAGGAAATTTTTCACTAAACCAGACTTTGCAACAAAATGCTTAAAAGACTGCTCCAACTAGAAGCAAAATGGAGTTATTACTATGAAATCACATGAAAGTATAACCCTTACTTTTAGAGAGAAACTCATAATCAAATTCATAATACACTATTACTATCCTTGTAGTATAGTATATAATCTTTCAAATCTCTAGTAGAAAAGCTAAATTTCAAAATAGTAAGCTATAATCCTAGTTACAATAAGTTGTCAAGAAGATATGAAAAATGTAAATTATGGCAATAAAATTATAAATTTTATGGTGGGGTAGATGTCTGAATTATATGCATGCAATCAAAATTAATTTTTATCAGTTTAAAATATACTTACATAACTACAAGAATTTTTCATGAAAGTGCCAGATTAGTCACAAAGGAAAAAATTACAATATATACACAAATGAGAAAGAGAAAAGAATCAAATCTTACTACTACAGGAAACCACTTAATCACAAAGTTATACAACAGAAGAAGAAGAAAAAAACATTTTTTTCTACAAAATATTTAGAAAACAACAGAATGGCAGGAGTAAGCTCTTAGCTATCAGTAATAACCTTGAATGTAAATGGCTTAAATTCTTCAATTAAAAGACACGCAGTGGCTGAGTTGATTAAAATAACAAGACTCAACTATATGTTGCCTACAAGAGACTCACTTCAACAATAAGAGTACATATAAACTGAAAGTAAAGGGAAGGAAAATGATATATCATGCAAATTAAAACCAAAAGAAAGGAGGATAGCTATACTTATCAGAGAAAATACAATTCAATCAAAAACTGTAAAAACAGATAAAGGTAACCATTGTATAATGATAAAGGGGCCAATTTAGTAAGAGGTTATAAAAACTGTAAACATATTGGCACCCAGCACAAGAGCACCAAAATATATGAAGCAAATATAACTAAAATATTTGCTAACTAAAGAGAGAGATAGACTTCAATTCAGTAATAGTAGGGAAGTTCAACAACCACATTCAGTAATGGACAGATCATCCAGACATAGAATCAACAACAAAAAAAATGGATTTAAACTGTATCCTAACTCAAATGAACCTTATAGACACAGAAGTTCTATGATGAAAGTTTATAGCAATAAATGTCTACATCAAAAAAATTAGAAAGATCTTCAATAAACAACCTAACATTGCACATCCAAGAACTAGAAAGGCCAGAGCAAAGTTAATCCAAAATAACTATAGTAAAAGAAATAATAAAGATCACAGCAGAAATACACAAAATAGAAGTTAATAAAGGAAAGCAAATAAAACAGTTTTTTCCAAAAAAAGATAAAATTGACTCTTTTAACTAAACTAAAAATATGGATAATTTTCAAATAAATGCAATCAGAGATGAAAAAGAAGGTATTAAAACTGATAGCACAGGAACACAAAGAAACTATTATAAAAATCTATATGCCAACAAATTGAGAAACCTAGAAGAAATGTATACATTCCTGAACATATACAACCTACCAAAATAGAGTCAGCAAGAAATAGAAAATCTAAACAGAATAATAACAACTAATAAGAATAAATCAGTAATAAAAAGTTTATCAGCAAAGAAAAACCCAAGACTTGATAATTTCACTGCTGAATTTTAACAAACATTTAAAAAACCAATACCATTTTTATATAACCACTTCTAGATTTCTCAATTTTTTTGGCATATAGTTGTTTCAAAGTCTTTCAAATTCATTTCATGAGGCCAGCATCACCCTACTATCAGAACCAGACAAGGATACAGTAAAGAAAGAAAAGTACAGGCCAATTCCCTTGATCAACGTAATGGTAAAAATTCTTAACAGAATACTAGCAAATGAAAATCAAAAGAACATTAAAGTCATTATTCACCATAATGAATTGGGGTTTATTCCAGGGATGCAAGGATGATTCACATGTGCAAATCAATAAATATGATACATCACATCAACAGAGTCAAGAACCAGCAATACATAATCGTTTCAATAAATGCACAAAAATCATTTGATAAAATTCAACACCCTCTCATGATTGAAAACTCTCAACCAATTAAGTATAGTAAAGATCTATCTCTATGTAATACAGGCCCTACGTGGCAAACCTACAGCTAATATCCTGAAAGGGTAAAAGTTGAAAGCTTTTCTTTGAAGTTCAGGAACAAGAAACGACTTTCAGTCAACATAGTTCTAGAAGTCCTAGCCAGGGTAATTAAGCAAGGAAAAAGAAATAAAGTGCATCCAAATTGGAAAGGAGAAAATTAAATTATCCCTGTTGGTAGAATACATGATTTTATATATACAAAACACTAAATATTCCACAAAAAAAATTAAAACTAATAAATGTATTCAGTAAATTTCAGTGTACAAAATTAACACACAAAATTCAGTAGCATTTCTCTATGCTAATAGTAAAGTACCTAAAAAAAAATCAAGAAAGCAGGGGAGGAGCCAAGATGGCCAAATAGGAACAGCTCTGGTCTACAGCTCCCAGCGTGAGCGACGCAGAAGATGGGTGATTTCTGCATTTCCATCTGAGGTACCGGGTTCATCTCACTAGGGAGTGCCAGACACTGGGCGCAGGTCAGTGGGTGCGCGCACTGTGTGCGAGCCGAAGCAGGGTGAGGCATTGCCTCACTTGGGAAGCACAAGGGGTCAGGGAGTTCCCTTTCCGAGTCAAAGAAAGGGGTGACGGACACACCTGGAAAATCGGGTCACTCCCACCCAAATATTGCGCTTTTCAGACCTGCTTAAAAAACGGCGCACCACGAGATTATATCCCGCACCTGGCTCGGAGGGTCCTACGCCCACGGAGTCTCGCTGATTGCTAGCACAGCAGTCTGAGATCAAACTGCAAGGCGGCAGCGAGGCTGGGGAGGGGCGCCCGCCATTGCCCAGGCTTGCTTAGGTAAACAAAGCAGCCTGGAAGCTCGAACTGGGTGGAGCCCACCACAGCTCAAGGAGGCCTGCCTGCCTCTGTAGGCTCCACCTCTGGGGGCAGGGCACAGACAAACAAAAAGACAGCAGTAACCTCTGCAGACTTAAATGTCCCTGTCTGACAGCTTTGAAGAGAGCAGTGGTTCTCCCAGCACGCAGCTGGAGATCTGAGAACAGGCAGACTGCCTCCTCAAGTGGGTCCCTGACCCCTGACCCCCGAGCAGCCTAACTGGGAGGCACCCCCAAGAAGGGGCACACTGACACGTCACACTGCAGGGTATTCCAACAGACCTGCAGCTGAGGGTCCTGTCTGTTAGAAGGAAAACTAACAAACAGAAAGGACACCCACACCAAAAACCCATCTGTACATCACCATCATCAAAGACCAAAAGTAGATAAAACCACAAAGATGGGGAAAAAACAGAACAGAAAAACTGGAAACTCTAAAACGCAGAGCACCTCTCCTCCCCCAAAGGAACACAGTTCCTCACCAGCAATGGAACAAAGCTGGATGGAGAATGACTTTAACGAGCTGAGAGAAGAAGGCTTCAGACAATCAAATTACTCTGAGCTACGGGAGGACATTCAAACCAAAGGCAAAGAAGTTGAAAACTTTGAAAAAAATTTAGAAGAATGTATAACTAGAATAACCAATACAGAGAAGTGCTTAAAGGAGCTGATGGAGCTGAAAACCAAGGCTCGAGAACTACGTGAAGAATGCAGAAGCCTCAGGAGCCGATGCGATCAACTGGAAGAAAGGGTATCAGCAATGGAAGATGAAATGAATGAAATGAAGTGAGAAGGGAAGTTTAGAGAAAAAAGAATAAAAAGAAATGAGCAAAGCCTCCAAGAAATATGGGACTATGTGAAAAGACCAAATCTACGTCTGATTGGTGTACCTGAAAGTGATGGGGAGAATGGAACCAAGTTGGAAAACACTCTGCAGGATATTATCCAGGAGAACTTCCCCAATCTAGCAAGGCAGGCCAACGTTCAGATTCAGGAAATACAGAGAACGCCACAAAGATACTCCTGGAGAAGAGCAACTCCAAGACACATAATTGTCAGATTCACCAAAGTTGAAATGAAGGAAAAAATGTTAAGGGAAGCCAGAGAGAAAGGTCGGGTTACCCTCAAAGGGAAGCCCATCAGACTAAGAGCAGATCTCTCGGCAGAAACCCTACAAGCCAGAAGAGAGTGGGGGCCAATATTCAACATTCTTAAAGAAAAGAATTTTCAACCCAGAATTTCATATCCAGCCAAACTAAGCTTCATAAGTGAAGGAGAAATAAAATACTTTACAGACAAGCAAATGCTGAGAGATTTTGTCACCACCAGGCCTGCCCTAAAAGAGCTCCTGAAGGAAGCACTAAACATGGAAAGGAACAAGTGGTACCAGCCGCTGCAAAATCATGCCAAAATGTAAAGACCATCGAGACTAGGAAGAAACTGCATCAACTAACGAGCAAAATCACCAGCTAACATCATAATGACAGGATCAAATTCACACATAACAATATTAACTTTAAATGTAAATGGACTAAATGCTCCAATTAAAAGACACAGACTGGCAAATTGGATAAAGAGTCAAGACCCATCAGTGTGCTGTATTCAGGAAACCCATCTCACGTGCAGAGACACACATAGGCTCAAAATAAAAGGATGGAGGAAGATCTACCAAGCAAATGGAAAACAAAAAAAGGCAGGGCTTGCAATCCTAGTCTCTGATAAAACAGACTTTAAACCAACAAAGATCAAAAGAGACAAGGCCATTACATAATGGTCAAGGGATCAATTCAACAAGAAGAGCTAAGCTAAATATGTATGCACCCAATACAGGAGCACCCAGATTCATAAAGCAAGTCCTCAGTGACCTACAAAGAGACTTAGACTCCCACACATTAATAATGGGAGACTTTAACACCCCACTGTCAACATTAGACAGATCAACGAGACAGAAAGTCAACAAGGATACCCAGGAATTGAACTCAGCTCTGCACCAAGCAGACCTAATAGACATCTACAGAACTCTCCACCCCAAATCAACAGAATATACATTTTTTTCAGCACCACACCACACCTATTCCAAAATTAACCACATACTGGGAAGTAAAGCTCTCCTCAGCAAATGTAAAAGAACAGAAATTATAACAAACTATCTCTCAGACCACAGTGCAATCAAACTAGAACTCAGGATTAAGAATCTCACTCAAAACCGCTCAACTACATGGAAACTGAACAACCTGCTCCTGAATGACTACTGGGTACATATCGAAATGAAGGCAGAAATAAAGATGTTCTTTGAAACCAACGAGAACAAAGACACCACACACCAGAATCTCTGGACACATTCAAAGCAGTGTGTAGAGGGAAATTTATAGCACTACATGCCCACAAGAGAAAGCAGGAAAGATCCAAAATTGACACCCTAACATCACAATTAAAAGAACTAGAAAAGCAAGAGCAAACACATTCAAAAGCTAGCAGAAGGCAAGAAATAACTAAAATCAGAGCAGAACTGAAGGAAATAGAGACACAAAAAACCCTTCAAAAAATTAATGAATCCAGGAGCTGGTTTTTTGAAAGGATCAACAAAATTGATAGACCGCTAGCAAGACTAATAAAGAAGAAAAGAGAGAAGAATCAAATAGACACAATAAAAAATGATAAAGGGGATATCACCACCGATCCCACAGAAATACAAACTATCATCAGAGAATACTGCAAACACCTCTACACAAATAAACTAGAAAATCTAGAAGAAATGGATAAATTCCTCGACACATACACTCTCCCAAGACTAAACCAGGAAGAAGTTGAATCTCTGAATAGACCAATAACAGGATCTGAAATTGTGGCAATAATCAATAGTTTACCAACCAAAAAGAGTCCAGGACCAGATGGATTCACAGCCGAATTCTATCAGAGGTACAAGGAGGAACTGGTATCATTCTTTCTGAAACTATTCCAATCAATAGAAAAAGAGGGAATCCTCCCTAACTCATTTTATGAGGCCAGCATCATCCTGATACCAAAGCGGGGCAGAGACACAACCAAAAAAGAGAATTTTAGACCAATATCCTTGATGAACATTGATGCAAAAATCCTCAATAAAATACTGGCAAAACGAATCCAGCAGCACATCAAAAAGCTTATCCACCATGATCAAGTGGGCTTCATCCCTGGGATGCAAGGCTGGTTCAATATATGCAAATCAATAAATGTAATCCAGCATATAAATAGAGCCAAAGACAAAAACCACATGATTATCTCAATAGATGCAGAAAAAGCCTTTGACAAAATTCAACAACCCTTCATGGTAAAAACTCTCAATAAATTAGGTATTGATGGGACGTATTTCAAAATAATAAGAGCTATCTATGACAAACCCACAGCCAATATCATACTGAATGGGCAAAAACTGGAAGCATTCCCTTTAAAAACTGGCACAAGACAGGGATGCCCTCTCTCACCACTCCTATTCAACATAGTGTTGGAAGTTCTGTCCAGGGCAATTAGGCAGGAGAAGGAAATAAAGGGTATTCAATTAGGAAAAGAGGAAGTCAAATTGTCCCTGTTTGCAGACGACATGATTGTATATCTAGAAAACCCCATTGTCTCAGCCCAAAATCTCCTTAAGCTGATAAGCAACTTCAGCAAAGTCTCAGGATACAAAATCAATGTACAAAAATCACAAGCATTCTTATACACCAATAACAGACAAACAGAGAGCCAAATCATGAGGGAACTCCCATTCACAATTGCTTCAAGGAGAATAAAATACCTAGGAATCCAACTTACAAGGGATGTGAAGGACCTCTTCAAGGAGAACTACAAACCACTGCTCAAGGAAATAAAAGAGGATACAAACAAATGGAAGAACATTCCATGCTCATGGGTAGGAAGAATCAATATCGTGAAAATGGCCATACTGCCCAAGGTAATTTACAGATTCAATGCCATCCCCATCAAGCTACCAATTACTTTCTTCACAGAATTGGAAAAAACTACTTTAAAGTTCATATGGAACCAAAAAAGAGCCCGCATCGCAAGGCAATCCTAAGCCAAAAGAACAAAGCTGGAGGCCTCACACTACCTGACTTCAAACTGTACTACAAGGCTACAGTAACCAAAACAGCATGGTACTGGTACCAAAACAGAGATTTAGATCAATGGAACAGAACAGAGCCCTCAGAAATAATGCTGCATATCTACAAGTATCTGATCTTTGACAAACCTGAGAAAAACAAGCAATGGGGAAAGGATTCCCTGTTTAATAAATGGTGCTGGGAAAACTGGCTAGCCATAGGTAGAAAGCTGAAACTGGATCCCTTCCTTACACCTTATACAAAAATCAATTCAAGATGGATTAAAGACTTAAACATTAGACCTAAAACCATAAAAACCCTAGAAGAAAACCTAGGCATTACCATTCAGGACATAGGCATGGGCAAGGACTTCATGTCTAAAACACCAAAAGCAATGGCAACAAAAGACAAAATTGACAAGTGGGATCTAATTAAACTAAAGAGCTTCTGCACAGCAAAAGAAACTACCATCAGAGTGAACAGGCAACCTACAGAATGGGAGAAAATTTTTGCAATCTACTCTTCTGACAAAGGGCTAATATCCAGAATCTACAATGAACTCAAACAAATTTACAAGAAAAAAACAAACAACCCCATCAAAAAGTGGGCAAAGGACATGAACAGACACTTCTCAAAAGAAGACATTTATGCAGCCAAAAAACACATGAAAAAATGCTCACCATCACTGGCCATCAGAGAAATGCAAATCAAAACCACAATGAGATACCATCTCACACCAGTTAGAATGGCAATCATTAAAAAGTCAGGAAACAACAGGTGCTGGAGAGGATGTGTAGAAACAGGAACACTTTTACACTGTTGGTGGGACTGTAAACTAGTTCAACCATTGTGGAAGTCAGTGTGGTGATTCCTCAGGGATCTAGAACTAGAAATACCATTTGACCCAGCCATCCCATTACTGGGTATATACCCAAAGGACTATAAATCATGCTGCTATAAAGACACATGCACACGTATGTTTACTGTGGCATTATTCACAATAGCAAAGACTTGGAACCAACCCAAATGTCCAACAATGATAGACTGGATTAAGAAAATGTGGCACATGTACACCATGGAATACTATGCAGCCATAAAAATTGATGAGTTCATGTCCTTTGTAGGGACATGGATGAAATTGGAAATCATCATTCTCAGTGAACTACTGCAAGAACAAAAAACCGAACACCGCATATTCTCACTCATAGGTGGGAATTGAACAATGAGAACACATGGACACAGGAAGGGGAACATCACACTCTGGGGACTGTGGTGGGGTGGGGAGAGGGGGGAGGGATAGCATTGGGAGATATACCTAATGCTAGATGACGAGTTAGTGGGTGCAGCGCACCAGCATGGCACATGTATACATATGTAACTAACCTGCACAATGTGCACATGTACCCTAAAACTTAAAGTATAATAAAAAAAAATTTAAAAAAAAAATCAAGAAAGCAATTTCATTTACAATTACTACAAAAAATTACCTGTGAATAAATTTAACCAAGGTAGTAAATGATATATACAATGAAAGCTGAGTATTGATGAAAGAAAATGAAGACTATATAAATAAGTGAGAAGATATGATTTCTTCATGATTTGGAAGAAGGAATATTGTTAAAATCTCCACACTAGTCAAAGCCAACTACAGATTCAGTTAAATCCCTATCAATATACCAATGACATTTTTTGCAGAAATAGAAAAAAAATTCTAAAGTTTCTGTGGAACCACAGAAGACCCCAGATAACCAAAGCTATATTGAGCAAAAAGAACAAAACTTGTGGTGTCACACTATCTGACTTCAAAACATATTACAAAGCCATAGTAACCAAAACAGCATGGCATCAGCAAAATAGTCACATAGACCAATGGAACAGAATGGGGAACCCAGAAATCAATCCATACTCATACAACCAATTGATTTTTGAAAAAGGCAACAAAAATACACATTGGAGTAAAAACAGTCTCTTCAATAAATGGTGCTATGAAAACTGGATATTCTCATGCAGAAGAATGAAACAAGCCCCTATCTCTCAAGATATACTTAAGTCAACTCAAAATGAATTAAATACTTAAATATAAGATGCAAAAACTATAAAACTATTGGAAGAAAACATGTGAAAAGTGCTTCACATAATTTGTCTGGCCAAGAATATTTGTATAATAACTCAAAAGCACAGGCAAAGAAAGCAAAACTAAAGAAATAAGATTATATAAAACTAAACAGCTTGTACACAACAAAGAAAACATCAACAGAGTTAATGACAACCTATAAAATGGGAGAAAATATTTGCAAATTATGCATCTTACAGGAGGTTAATATCTAGAATATATAGGAATTCAAACAAATCAATTGCAAACAAACACTCTGATTTTAAAATAGGCAAAATAAATAGACATTTCTCAAAAGCAGACATGCAAATGAGCAGCAAGTTTATGAAAAAATGCTTAGCATCACTGTATTAGTTGATTCTCATGCTGCTATACCTAAGACTGGGTAATTTACAAGGGAAAGAGGGTTATAATTGACTTGCAGTTCCACCTGCCGGGCGAGGCCTCAGGAAACTTACAATAATGGTGGAAGGGGAATCAAATCGGTCCTTCTTCACAAGGCAGCAGAAGAGTGCGGTGCTGAGCAAAGGTGGAATCCCCTTGTAAAACCATCAGATCTTGTTGGAATTCACTCACTATCACGAAAACAGCATGGGGAGAGTGGGGTAACCATCCCCATAATTCAATCATCTCCACTTTGTCCTGCCCTTGACATGTGGGGATTATCACAATTCAAGATGAGATTTAGGTGGGGACAAAGACCCAAACCATATCAGTCGCTAATCATCAGGGAGATAAATTTCAAAACCACAACCAAATATCCCTTCACATCTATCCGAATGTATATTATTCAGATTAAAAAAGACAAAAAAATAACAAGTGCTGGTATGAACGTGGAGATATAATAACTCATATACTATTGGTAGGAATGTAAATTATTACTTCCATTATGAGAAACAGTATGGTGATTTTCAAAAAATTAAAAGTAGAACTACCATATGGATCCTGAAATCCTATTACTGTGTGTTTATCCAAAAGAGATGAAATCATTATGTCAAAGAGATATCTGGACTTCCATGTTTATTGCAGCACATTCACAATAGCCAAGCTATGGAGCAACCTAATTGTCCATCAATGAATGAATGCATAGAAATATATATATATATACACACACATACATATGTATATGTATATACACACACAATGAAACACTGTTCAGCCACAAAAAGGAATAAAATCTTGTCATTTGCAGCAACCTGGATAAACTCAGAGGACATTAACCTAAGTGAAATAAGGCAGCACAGAGAGACAAACACCACATAATCTCACACAGCTGCAAAACTTAAAAATCTGGTTCCAATGAAATAGAAAGTAGCATAAGTGGTCACCAGAATTGGTCAAGGGTGAAAAATTACGATAGATAGGAATAATAAGACCTGGTATTGTATTACATAGTAGGGTGATTATAGTTCAAATATTATATTGTACATTTCAAAATATGTAGAAGAGAAGATTTTGAATGGTCTTACCACAAAGAAATGATAAATGTTTGAGGTAATTGATAACCTAATTAACCTGACTCTATCATTATACAATGTATACATGTTAGAAATATCACGACATACTCTATAAGCTTTTACCATTATTATGTGTTAATTAACAATAAAATAAACCTTTAAAAGTTGAAATTATCCGTGGGCTCACCATGTAACTTTCTGTTTCGTCAATGGCTCCCATCATTCAATGTCTCTTGTATAATATCAGAAAGTGGTTTATCCAGTTTCTCACTTGTTTATAGCAGATCTAGCCTATTACCAGTTTCTCTGCTACACACAGCAGCAGAAAACTGATTTTATTTTAATGAAAATAGTACTCATTCAGTAAGCACTGTAAAAATTTTCAGAGAAATATTTTTTGTTTACTCACAGTAAATACAGAAATTTTAGATTTAATTGATTTGCATATTCTATGTTAGATTTCACATGATCAGAAATATGTTAGACAACAATAGAATGTAACAATACTACAAATGTTATTCAAAATTCTTTCAATTAATGCAAATTATTAGGAAAAATATGCTATTTGTAAAATTACCTGACTACTTGAAAGAAAATAAGCAAAATAAGCTATAGATAGCTATGCTTAAATTTTAATTCTTGAAATTGCTACTGAATTATTGTAGCTATATATATATATATATTTGCTATCTGAGAAATAAAAATTAGTATCTTGCTTTTATACAGCCTAAAAACATTTCCCTATATATTGAGTTGGGCATGTACAATCTTTCTATGAAGGAGCAATGTAGGGATTTTTAACCCCTTTTGCAGTGAAATAAATAAAAAACCAGTAAATTAGTGAAGACTAAATTGGTATCTCAGTTTAAACTTGGTAAAATAAAATTTTAATTAGTTCTTTTTACACAATAATTTTATCTTTCATACACAGCTTTTATGTGATATTGCATTATGGTCATAAATTATATGATACTTTCATCTTTATTTCTCACCTTTAACATCTAAAGCCTCGATTTTAATAAAAGTAATTGTTTACATAGCCTTCTTTATGACTATCAACCTTGGATTTATCCTGTTTATACATCCTCCCTGTTTTCCAAGAAAAAAATTCCAAATGTTGTTTTTTGGTCTGTGTATGTTATTATATCTATTATCTGAGTTTTGAAAATTATTCTGCTACAGCAATCCTTTGTTTTAGGGTTCTAGCAGCAGCTTCAATATTTATATTAAATGCTTATTATTTTGACAGCTCAAATGTCATTAAAATGACAGATTACTAGTTTGAGTTCAGAAACCATTGACATAAAAGGAGTAATGCGTATTTTGCAAAATTTACTGTGCAAAATAGAAGGACATATATTTTAAGTTGTCAATGTTAATTGTATCTTTTTCTGGATGAGCAATAAATAAGTGCTGTTCTGATAACAATGGTGACATGACATAGGATAAAGAGCAGGCATCAAAAAAGCGAGCATTTCGTTTAGGTCACTACGTCCAAATAGTAAACATTTTCTCTGAATCATACTAAGGTTTCCTTGAAAGTACTGTCCAATACTCATTAAATTTCTCTACATTTCTTTGATGTAACATGTACTGAATGTGTTTTCACCTTTATTTCTACAATTCAATTATATCAAGTGAATTTTAGAATGTAGACAAAAGTGATTGTGTTTTGTCATTTTAATATGTTGTCTGAAGTAGCTGAATACCTGTGAGATGTTAACATTTAGTGTATATTGGGTTCTGTAGCCAGAGAAGACTTAAATCTGATTACAGCAGGATTGATGGGTCAGGTAAGAGGCTAAAAGGTAAAAAGTAAAGTACTGAACTAATTGCAGAGAGAAGCAGACTTCTAAATTTCGTGTGATATTTTAAAAGAATAAAATGTTGATTTAAAAAAGTTAATGACAAGGCCAGGCGCCGTGGCTCATGCCTGTAATCCTAGCACTTTGGGAGGCCGAGGTAGGCAGATCACGAGGTCAGGAGATTGAGACCATCCTGGCGAACACGGTGAAACCCTGTCTCTACTAAAAATACAAAAAATTAGCCAGGCATGGTGGCAGGCAGCTGTAGTCCCAGCTGCTCAGGAGGCCAAGGCAGGAGAATGGTGTGAACCTGGGAGGCAAGGCTTGCAGTGAGCTGAGATCGTACCACTGCCCTCCAGCCTGGGTGACAGAGCGAGACTCCGTCTCAAAAAAAAAAAAAAAAGTTAACCACAATGCCACATAGTAAGAATATATAAAGAATAATACCATCTTACAAATATCAATGTTTCAGTTGGTTAATGCTTTCGTTGATTCATCAATCTTGTATTGAATATTCAAGGCCTTATATAGGGAGCTACATCATAAGTAATACAGGCAGTTGTTCAAGTCCTGAATGATTATGAAGATTATAGAATTAGTGGAGATGATGTTAAGGACTACAGTGTAACTAAAGGTATTAGAGATATTCAAATTCCATAGGTGTTTCAGAGGAAAGAGAAATTGCTTTACACAAAAACGTTTTTAGAAAAAGTGGAATCGGTGCTGCCTTCCTCCTTCTGAGGTGACCTCAGCATATTTCACCAGGATTTCCCCCAGCCACCCCTAAGAGGACTGGTGCCTACACTTGTCATTGGGACATTTATGGGAAAGCTCACTGGTATGACTCTGCCCAGCTTTGTCCTCCTGACCATGGACTGAACAGGGAACTCAGGTCACTGGGCATTCTACAGACCAACCCATCACCTGAAGCACCAGAGAGCACATCTTATTAAAGAAAGATCAAGCTCATACCCATCTGATTGTGCCACAGGCAGCTCTTGGCTATCAGAGCCAACTGTTAGCCTGGAGGTTGAGTTCAGACAAGCAAGTCAATATACAATAATGACAATTTCAATTCAACAAGATATTACTATCCTAAAAATATATATGCATGCAACACAGGAGCACCCATATTCTTAAAACAAATACTACTAGACCTAAGAAAAGAGATAAACAGCAATGCAATAATAGCAAAAGACTTCAACACACTAGTAACAGCACTAGACAGATCAACAAGGCAGAAAATCAACAAAGAAACTGGAATTATACTAGATTCTAGACAAAATGTACCTAACAGACATTTACCATTCATTCTACTCAAAAACTTTAGAATATACACTTTTCTCATCTGTGCATGGAACATTCTCCCAAATAGATACTATGTTTGGCCATAAGGCAAGTTTCAATAAATTTTAAAAATATGAAATTGTATTAAGTATCTCTTTGGACCATAGTGATATAAAGTTAGAAATCAATACCAAGAAAAACTCTCAAAACTCCACAAATGTGGCTGAGCATGGTGACTCATGCCTATAATCACAGTTCTTTGGGAGGCTGAGCTGAGAGGATCACTTGTGGCCAGGAGTTTTAGACTAGCAAGACCCCATCATTTTGTACTTTTTTGTACAAGAAAATTTAAAAACAGTTAGCTGGGCATGGTGGCACATGACTGTAGTCCCAACTACTTGCGAAGCTGAGGCCAGAGGATCACTTGAGCACAGAAGATTGAGGCTGCAGTGAGCTAAGATCATGCCACTGCATTACAGCCTGGATGACAGCGTGAGGATTTGTTTAAAAAAAAAAGCTATTCAAATTTATTTATTTATGAAAACTAAGCAACTTGCTGCTGAATGATCTTTGAGTAAATGACAATATTAAGGCAGAAATAAAAAAAAGTTAATGAGTTACACTACAGGCACAACATACCAAAACACCTGGGATACAGCAAAAGCAGCCACAACAAACATCACACTAAATGGGGAAAAGTTGAAGCATTTCCCAGAACTAGAACAAGACAAAATACCCATTTTCACTACTCCTATTCGATGTGGTATTGGAAGTCCTAGCCATTGCGAACAGTCAAGAGAAAGAAACAAAAGGCATCAAAGTTGGAAAAGATGACATAAGGTTATCTCTTTCTACAGATGACATAATCTTATACCTAGAAAACCCTAAGCACTCCTCCAAAAGACTCCTAAACTTGAAAATGATGACTTCAGGGTACAAAATCAACATATAAAAATCAGTAGCATTTTCATAAAACAAGATCATTAAAGCTGAGAACAAAATCAAGAACTCACCCCTAACTATGGAAATGCTGTTACACTGTTGGTGGGAGTGTAAATTAGTTCAACCATTGTGGAAACCAGTGTGGTGATTCCTTAGGGATCTAGAACCAGAAATACCATTTGACCCAGCAATCCCATTACTAGGTATATACCCAAAGGATTATAAATCATTCCACTATAAAGACACATGTACACGTATGTTTATTGCAGCACTGTTCACAATAGCAAATACTTGGAACCAACCCAAATGCCCATCAATGATAGACTGGATAAAGAAAATGTGGCATATATACACCAGGGAATACTGTGCAGCCATAAAAAAGGATGAGTTCATGACCTTTGCAGGGACATGGATGAAGCTAGAAACATCATTCTCAGCAAACTAACACAGCAACAGAAAACCAAACACCGCATGTTCTCACTCATAAGTGGGAGTTTAACAATGAGAACACATGGACACGAGGAAGGGAACATCACACACCAGAGCCTGTCAGGGGTGGGGGGACTAAGGGAGGGATAGCATTAGGAGAAATACCTAATGTAGATGGCTGGTTGATGGGTGTAGCAAACCACCACGGCATGTGTATGCTTATGTAACAAACCTGCACATTCTGCACATGTATCCTAGAACTAGAGTATAATAAAAAAACTCAATCCTATTTATAATAGCCACAAAATAAAATAAAATGCATAGGAATACATTTAACCAAGGAAATGAAAGAGCTCTTCAATGTGTACCACAAAACACTGCTGAAATTGTAGATGACACAAATGAAAAAAACATCCCACGCTCACTTTTTAAAAGGATATATTATTAAAATGACCATACTGCTTAAAGCAATTTACAGATTCAAGGCAATTCCTATCAAATTACCAATGCTATTGTTCATAGAATTAGAAAAAAAAATCCTAAAATTCATATGGAACCAAAAAAGAACGTAAAGAGCCAGAGAAATCATAAGCAAAAAGAACAAAGCTGGATGCATCACGTTAGCTAACTTTAAATTATATTACAAGGCTATTGTAACCAAAACAGCATTGTACTGATATGAGCATAGACACATAGATCAATGTAACAGAATAGAGAATCCAGAAATAAAGCCACATACCTACAACCAACTGACTTTCGTCAAAAAAAAAAAAAATGTACAGTGGGAAAGGATACCATATGTAGTAAACGGTGCTGGGAAAACTGAATAGCCATGTGTGGCAGAATTAAACTGGATCTCTAATTCTTACCATATGCAGAATTAACTCACAGTGGATTAAAGGCTTAAATGTAAGACCTGAAACTATAAAAATCCCCAAAGGAAACCTAGAAAACACTCTTCAGGACATTGGCCTAGGCAACAACTTTTTGACTAAGATCGCAAAAGCAAATGCAACAAAAATAAAAATAGACAAATTGGACTTAATGAAATCAAAAAGTTTCTGCACATCTAATTAAACTAGACAACATCTGCCCATCAAAAGAAATAATTAACATAGTAAATAGACAATCTCCAGAATGAAAGAGAATACTTGCAAACCATGCATCTGAGAAAGTACAAATATCCAGAATCTAGGATAAATTCAAACAACTCCAGAAAAGAAAATCAAATAAACCTATTAAAAAGTGGCCAAACGCCATAAATACACATTTCTCAAAATAAGACATACAAGTGACCAACAAACATATGAAAAAATGCTCCACATCACTCATCATCACAGAAATGCAAATGAAAACCACAGTGTGATACAGTATTACACCAGTCACAATGGCTATTCTATAAAAAGTTAGAAAATAGCAGATGCTAGTGAGGCTATGAGGAACAAGGAATGCCTATACACTGTTGGTGGGAATCTAAATTAGTATTGTCTGTATGGAAAACAGTATGGATATTTCTCAAAGAACTAAAAATAGTTGTACCATTTTACCCAGCAACCTATCTAGATACCTAGATACTACTCCTACTGAAAAAACTTCAGAAAATTGAAGAGGGAGGCTCCCCCCTGACTCTATGAAGCCAAAATCAGCCTGATACCAAAATCTGGCTACAACATAACAGAACACTAAAACTTCAGACCAATATCCCTTGTGAACACAGGATCAAAAATCCTCAACAAAATACTATCAAACTTAATCCAACACCACATCAAAAAGATAATAAACCACAATCAAGTGGGCTTTATTCATGAAATGCAAGGCAGGTTCAACATACACAAATCAATAAATGTGATTCACCACATAAACAATTGAAAACAAATATATGGTCATCTCAATGGATGCAGAAAAATCTTTCAATACAATTTAATATACATTTATGACAAAACCCTCAAGAAACTAGGCATCAAAGGGGCATACCTCAAAATAATAAGAGCTATCATAACCTCAAAATGATAAGAGCTGTCTGTGACAAACCCATAGCCAGTATCATACTGAATGAGTGAAAGCTGGAAGCATTCTCTTGAGAATCAGAACAAGGTAAGGATATCAATTCCAACCACTCCTATCAACATAGTCCTGGAAATCCAAGCCAGAGCAATCAGACAAGAGGAAGAAAGAAAAGGCATCCAAAAATGAAAAGAATATGTCAACCTATCTCTCTTCACTGACGATATGATTCTATACCTAGAAAACCCTAAAGACTCTACCAAAAGGCTTCTAGAACTGGTAGATGACTTCAGTAAATTTCCAGGATACAAAATGTATGTACAAAAATTAGTAATATTTCTATACCAGTAATGTTCAATCTGAGAGCCAAATCAAGTACACAATCCAATTTATAATAATCATAAATAAAAAAATAAATACCTAGGAATACAGATAGCCCAATAGGTGAAAGATTTCTACACAGAGAATTACAAATCAATGCTCAAAGAAGTCAGAGATGACAAAAATAAAGGGAAAAGCATTTCATACTCATGGATTAAAGAAATCAATGTTGTTAAAATGGCTATACTGCCTAAACTAATTTACAGATTCCATGCTATTCCTATCGAACTACCATGACATTTTTCACAGAATTAGAAAAATCTATTCCAAAATTCATATAAACCAAAAGAGAACCCAGATAGCTGAAGGAATCCTAACCCAAGAGAACAAAGCCAGAGAAGTATCACACTACCTGACTTCAAGCTATGCTATAAGGCTACACTAACCAATACAGCTTGGTACTGGTACAAAAACAGACACATAGACCAATAGAACATAATGGAGAACCTAGAAATAAAGCTACAAATCTGCAACCATCTGCTATTTAACAAAGCTGAGAAAAGCAAGAAATGGAGAAAGGACCCCCTATTCAATCAATGTTGCTGGAATACCTGGATAGCCACAAGCTGAAGAATGATACTGGACTCCTACCTTTCACCATATACAGAAATTAACTCAGGATGGATTAAAGATTTAAATGTAAGACCTCAAACAATAAGAATCCTAGAAGAAAACCTAGGCAATACCCTTCTTCACATCCTTGTACGCAAAAAATTGGGGGGCTGCATCCCCAAAAGCAATTCCAATAGAGACAAATATTAACAAGTGGAACTAATATTGTTGGGATGTTTGTCTCCTCAAAATTTCATGTTGAAATATAATCCCCAATGTTTAAGGTGGAGCCTAGTGGCAGGTATTGTCATGGGCGTGGATGCCTCCTGAGAGGCTTAGCACTATCCCCTTGATGATGAGTGAATTCTTGTTCTGTTAGTTCATGCATGATCTGGTTGTTTTAAAATGTATAACATCTCTTCCTTCTCTCTCTTCCTTTCACTCTCACGATGTGACAATCCTGCCCCTTCTTCACTTTTCACCATGACTGAAAGCTTCCTGAGCCCTCAGCAGAAGCTGAGCAGATTCTGGAACCATGCTTCTTCTTGTATAGCTTGTAAAATCATGAGCCAGTTAATCCTCTTTTCTTTATAAATTATCCACCCTTAAGTATTTCTTTATAGTGACACAAAGCCAACTAACACAGGGACCTTACTAAACTAAAGAACTTCTGCACAGCAAAATAAATTATCAATAAGCAGTCTACAGAATAAGAGAAACTCAACCCCTTTCCTTCAAAAACCCAATCCCTTTCCTTCAAACTTTAGCCCTAGTTAGATTAGGATCTCTGACATATTTAACTGAAAGAGTCCTAAATAATACGATACATTTAGATTCTTTGATAGCAAGGCAGAAAATATATAGCACTAATTATATGATTGCTTGAGTTTTTAAACACAACTGCATGTCCTGCTCATCTTGTGAGAATAGATGCTCATAAAAGCAAGTTATCCAGCTGGTGAGCCAATGGCTAAGTCTTGGATAGTTTTCTGAATGTCAGTACATGATGATACATCTTTTCAGTTAAATTTAATTTGCCTTCACAATAAAAATTGAAAACCATTGAAATTTTCTGCATTTGCTCAGTATGTTGTTTCTGATTAATTTTATTGATGGTTTAACTTGGCATTCAAATTTCTAATCAAATGGATTTTCAAAGTCCTGTTAATTAAAATAACAGCCTTTACAATGTAGCATGGAAATATAGATGCAAAAAAATACATTTGAGTGTCTTATTGTTAATAGAAGGCCACATATATATTTTAATATATCTACTGTAATCCTCATTAAGATTACTCTCAGCAAGCTACAGTTCATCATATCAAATGGTAATGTAATGCACAGTGATTACTGTTTCTAATTCTACACTGTTCTTTATGGCCTTATCATTTCTATTTTATTGCAGTTGTTAAGCAGGACAAGAATATGATATGCAAGCTAGTGTTTTGCTAAGCCATTTCACAGTACACGCTTAGTTGCAATAATAATTCATTTTATATGGTCTTAGTATATATTATGAAGCTATTTCCCAGAATGAAAATGTTGTTGATATATAAAACAAAATTATGCTTTAAATTGTTATGCAACAAGAAATAATGGATGAAGTCTGATTTGATTAGCAACCATATCATTTACATATGTATCTTAAGGGAAGTTAGTTTTAAAATTGCATATTTATAATGTGGTTTCCTAGGAAATGTGATAACAGATATAAAGAAGTTAAGATATGATACTCTTTTTGTTTCTAAAAATCTTTTTAGAATTTCAGGAGATAAATTATTTAGGGTTATAGTATTAAACTGATATATTTATAATAATAGCCACTTATATTTTTAGCTTATTAACTATTAGTAATTATTCAATATTTTATTAATTAAATGAATGGATTTCTACCTGCAAGAAATAAGTTTCAACTATTTGAGAATAAGTTTTTCAACTTCAGATAATATAACATGATTTAAAAAATACATATAGAATTAAGAATACATTCTTCAAAGGTTAACTTACACACAATTAATATAATTTCAAAATGCTTTGCCTTGGAGCAAAACGGAAGTCAATATATAAAAAGCCATACCGTTGATGCTAATATTTTAGACTCAGTTTTGTCATTCACCCTTTTTGAACCTCAGCATTCTATTCTACATGACAGCATTAGCTTAAATCTACTCTGATTCTTTTTTTCCTCTTAACCTTTTATAAAACCAATACATATACTCTCAGAAGAAGCAATTGAATCTACTAGAATGTTTTGGATTTGGAGAGCTTTGATAATTCAGATGGTGCAATAATATTTAATATTTGGAATAATCAGAGTTTGGAGTGAGAAACTACCTTCACATCTCTTCAGTCCAGTCTCTTTACCCCAGATGAAACATCGTTTCTCAGGAAGTTCACCAGAAGCTATCAAAAGGTTGTCTCCACACCTGGATTTAAAGCATTGGTAAGTTTGTATGCTTTTTTCTCACAATTAATTTTTGTCTTTATCCTATTTCTGTATCTTCAGTAAAATTTAGTGGGCTAATAAGAAAAAATTCAAGATTTAAAATATGTATGCTTATTAACAATATTTAATTACTTATTTTATCCACACATTTAAATTCATAGATTGTTCTCTAATTCGTTATCTAAGAGGAAGCATGTGGGAGAGCAAAATGAAGTTGCCTTCATGTCTTGCTGGCTTTTCCCAGCAAAATGTCTAAGTTCAAAAGGACCTCAAAATGTGTGCAGAGTGATAAAATGAAGGGGATATAAGAGCACAATATCTTGAAAACACATGAAGGGCAAAAAATGATCATGAAATTGAAAGGATATTAGTCTGACTGGTTAAGAAGAGAAAAATAAGAGGAAATATTCTAAAGGTCTTTAATATAAAGGTAGCGTATGTTGTGCTTAGCATCACTGTGAGAGATTGATGAGGTCAGAAGGGAAATTCCTATGTAACACAATTGAACATGGAGGATTATAGGTAGTGTCAGAGAAAACTCCTCCTGTGCCCTAATCATGACACAGAACTAGCAGGTTATTTTCAAACTATAAGTGGTTATGAGCACAGGAGTAAGATAGAACAGGGATAATGGGCATTCGAGCCACAACCTTTGTTGATCTGTGACTAAAGCTCAGATGTAGCCTTTCCTCATTAGTAATGTGCTGAATTATCTTAGGATAATGCAATAAAACAGGACAAGGAAGAATGAGAGCACTAATTTAGAACTTGAGTTAAATAAAATTTTACTTGTTAATGCTGCTGTTCTTGCTCAACTGAATCCGTAGACTAAGATTCATTCTCATTAAATTTGATTTAATGTTACACAAGAGAATGAAATGGATAATTGGGTAACTTTCCCTTATGTATCTGATAGAGAAGATTCAAGAATTTCCTGATGAGCTACAATTTAAAAAACACAAAATATATGCAACTATATGCATGAATCTCCAGAACATAATTCTCAACAAAAAATGCATTAGAAGTTTATGTTTATACCCTGTGATTTTATTTATATAAATGTAAACACAAGCTGTGGTCTTAAATGACAATATTGCAGCTACTTTGGGTGTAGAGTAGTGTCTGGGAAGGGGCATGTCAGAGGCTTTTGGTTGTCTCACTAATATTGCTTATTCATCTGAATATTGATTTTGTGTTTTTTGTAAAGAAAATTGTAATTAATTAATATAGTGGTGTAATAATCTGCATATATTTCTGCTTGCCGTCTATATTTTGATGAATATCTATGTAAAATGTATTCTGTGTATTTCCAAGTATTGTTTACTCTAAGAATTCAAATGTGTTATAATTTCAGAATATCTTTATATGTAAATCGGTACAGTAATAAATTAGAATAGAAACACCATAGAATTATAGTAGTTTAATCAAAACTCCAAATGAAAAATAGAAAAAAGCTATGTAAGATGGAAAACTTTACTAGAAACTAACATCAATATTTGTCCAAAATGTAACTTAATTTATTAAAAGGATAAATTTATATATATTGATTTATATAGATGTAAAATATAATATATACACAGTATATAAATATTATGCAAAATAATATATACACACATGCAGGTGAATTTCACTATTCATAGTAGTTATGTTCTATAAATTCACCAAAAACACTGACTTAGAGAATACTAAGCCCCTATGGAAAATACAGGGTTAGTGTCCTGTGCACTCTGGCTACACATTTTCATCAACCAATCAACACATAACATTGTTTTATGAGTGCTTCAGTCTAAAGACACCTTATTTAATAATTATTGTTGATTCATTAACATTGAACTCACAGCCAATACACTATCATTTGTGCTTGAACAGAGATCATCTAATACACCTGATTTCTCCATGTAGCAGATCACAGTCTTCTTGCACTCAGGAGTACTAGAAAGCAATTCAGCACTAGGCTGAGGGGGAGAAGCATTTGAAGGTGTAAAGTCACTAGTGAAAACCAAATAGTGCAAAGAACACTGCACAAAGAGAGCTCAGAAATGTCACTGATTAGGATATGAGAATTGAAACAAGAAGACAGAAAGTTACCTTGTTCTACCTTAGGTGTTGTATATCAGGCAAATCAAATTTTTTGCTGCTCTGTGAATGTTCGCAAATGATGGCAAAAGCACCTCAAGTATTAATTTCAGGATTACAAATAAGCTTTAGCTCATAGGGGAATTTACAAATATGGACTCTGTGAATAATGAGAATCAACTGCAGTTAGTTTAAGCAGTTGTGAAAAATTGAAGGCCAACACCACATCAGGTGTAAAAAATATCAAATTACCAAATTTTAAATGTTTAATTTTCTTCTAATATTTTAATGAATGTCAACATATAATCAACCAATTTGGAATTGCTGTTGGTGAGTTGCTAGAGAAACATGAATATTTGGAAATTTATTCAACTCAAAATTTTTTTCCAAGACAGACAATTTAGGAGAGCAATTAAAATTATTTGCAAGAGTGAGAGTGGCAACCTGCACTTCAGTATACTGTACCAATGTGGTCATTTTTTTCCCCAGCTCATCACTGCCCCCTAGGTGAAATGAACTGTTAATAATTCAAGAAAGCTTTTAAAATCATTTAAGGCATTTCGGTTTGTACTTGTAATCATTAAGAACAATTTCAGTCTCTCTGCTCTTCTGGTTCGACAGACAGCTGCATCTTCTCATGCACCACCAGCCTCTTCCCTGAGACACCATGGTGAAGGTGAAGGCCAGAGCCAACGGATTGGACTATATTGGGCACCCGGTCACTAGGGCTGCTTTTAATTCTGGTAAAGTGGATATTGTCACCATCAATGACCCCTTCATTGACCTCAACAACATAGTCTACATGATCTAGTATGATTCCACCCATGGCAAATTCCATGGTACAGTCAAGGCTGAGAATGGAAAGCTCGTCTTCAATGGAAATCCCATCATCATCTTCCAGGACCAAGATCCTACCAAAATCCAATGGGGTGATGTTGGCACTAAATGTGTTGTGGAGTCCGCCAGTGTCTTCACCGCCATGGAGAAGGCTGGGGCTCATTTGCAGGGGGAGCCAAAAAGGTCATCATCTCTGCCGCCTCTAGTGATGACCCCGTGTTTGTGATGGGCGTGAACTATGAGAAGTATGACAACAGCCTCAAGATTGTCAGCAATACCTCCTGCACCACCAACTGCTTAGCACCCCTGGCCAAGGTCATCCATGACAACTGTCATTGTGGAGGGACTCATGACCACATTTCATGTAGTCACTGCCACCCAAAAGACTGTGGATGGCCTTTCCAGGAAACTGTGGCATGAAGGCCGTGGAGCTCTAAAGAACATCATCCCTGCATCTACTGGCACTGTCAAGAACAGGGGCAAGGTCACCCTGAGCTGAATGGGAAGCTCACTGGCATGGCCTTCTGTGTCTCTACCGCCAAACTGTCAGTCGTGGACCTGACCTGCTGTTTGGGAAAAACTGCCAAATATGATGGCATCGAGAAGGTGGTGGGGCAGGCATCGGAGGGCCCGCTCAAGGGCATCCTGGGCTACACTGAGCACCAGGTTGTCTCCTCCGAATTCAACAGCAACACCCACTCTTCTGCTTTCAATGTCAATGAGGGCAATGACATTGCCCTCAACAACCACTTTGTCAAGCTTATTTCCTGGTATGACAATGAATTTGGCAACAGCAACAGGGTGATAGACCTCATGGTCCACTTGACCTCCAAAGAGTAAGACCCCCAGACCACCAGCCCCAGGGAGAGCACAAGATACAAAAAGAGGCCCTCAGCTGCTGGGGAGTCCCTGCCACATTCAGTCCCCCACCACACTGAGAATCTCCCCTCCTCACAGTTTCCATGCAGACCCTTTGAAGAGGGAGGGGCCTAGGGAGCCTCACCTTGTCATGTACCATCAATAAAGTCCCCTGTGCTCAGCCAAACAAACAAAGAGAACAATTTCAGCTGCAAATAAAAGAAAATAGAGAACAAAATTTCCTCATATTATTTAGATGTTGGGAGGTAGGTCCTTACCATTATAAGTTATTTCTGATTTTAAAATATCATCAAAACCTCAGGTGTATGTTTTGTATGTTGTCATTTTCTGTATGCCAGAGTTACCATAATAGTTCTAGGAGTTTCAGACACATCGAGGCATCAATTCAATTTTTTAAAAATCTCCAAAGGAAGAAGAAATGTTGTGTTTATATAGTCTTATCTGAACCCTGTAAACAACTTCTTCTAACGTGTGTTTGTTCATAACTGTGCCACATGCTCATGGCAAAACAGGCACAGGCAAAGAGAATAGCATACTTATGGGGTTGTGGGCTTCTTCTGTGAAACACACAACAGAGTGAAGAAGAATGCAAATCTGAATGAATTTTGAAATTCTGTAAGGACATAGGATGGGAAAGTGGATGCTTAGTAAGCAATAAATAACGTACACTACAGAATCATAACTAACACTTCATTAAATGACACTATTGGCTTAGAAAGATGAAATGTTACGATTTAAAATACAATGTTTTTTAAGTATTTCAGTTATTTTTACCAGCTGTGTTTATTTTTCAGTGTTTTTCTTTTATTTTATTCAAGTGAAAGTTTTTGTTATATTCACATGAAAGTTGTATTTGAAAAAGTTTTCTGTACTACTCTTTTAACATCAACTTTATTTAGAACTCAGTGCCTTAGGGGACATTTATTTTTAAAGAGGAGAAGCCCATTCAACTGAGCTTAGGTTAAAAATGGACTTCTGTTTGATTTTTATATTCATATAAAGGATTTTTATTAGGCAATATAGTCTCAAAGATGCTGCATGTATTATTTGGAAGGGGAACAGGTTGAGGAATTAGTTCTGAAAATCATTTTATGATTAAATACGTCACTCTAAAGAAAATAACAAAATGCAAGGTACCATCATAAAATAAAGAATGCCCAAAAATTGTAATAATAAAATTATCAGAATATGAACAGGGCTAGAAAAAAAAGACTTAATAGAACAAAATAGAAAGCAGAACCAACCTATACATATATGTAGAAATTTCATCATTTGTATGGTGGTATTTCAAATTTGTGGAATCTAGATCAGTCAATTTGAATAAAAAATACTGGCTGAATTCCAGATGGAAATCCTGGACTGTCCACTTAATATTTTC
The DNA here is from genome assembly GCF_000001405.40 of Homo sapiens. Taxonomy (NCBI): domain Eukaryota; kingdom Metazoa; phylum Chordata; class Mammalia; order Primates; family Hominidae; genus Homo; species Homo sapiens. Next base: position 55,665,923 of record NC_000010.11, on the reverse strand, counting down.
ATTCTAATAGGCATCTTAACATCACAAGTTCAAAACAGAGTTCACGATTTCTTTCAATCTATCCTTTCCCATTTTAATATATAACAAAACTCTCTACTTGATTACTCAAAATACAAATCTAAGGGTCTTCCTAGATTCTTATCTTTTCCGCATTTCAAACATTAGGTAAACGAATTACATTGAAAGAGATAACTGTTGTCATTTAAAAATGAAGTATATCAATAAAATTGTTTATGGTAGCCCCTGCTTAGCCATGGGGGACACATTTCAAGACCCCCCAGTGGCTGCCTGAAACCAAAAATAATACCAAATTTAATGTATACTACATATACTATGTTTCTTCATATAATGCATATCTGAAAAAGTTTAATTTGTAAATTAGGCACAGTAAGAAATTAACCATAACTAATGATAAGATAGAATAATTATAACAATATACAGCAATGAGAGCTACATGAATCTAGTCTCTTTCTCTCTCAAAATATTTTATTGTACTGTCTTCACCATTCTTCTCTTAATCTGTCAATCTGATCACCAAGAGGACTGCTGAGTGACTCGTGGGCAGGTAGCATGGACAGCGTGGATATGCTGGGCAAAAGAATGATTCACTAAGTGACTAAGGGGCGGGAGCCAGACAGTGAGCTTTCTGATGAACAGCGGGCAATTTAAAACTTATGAACTGTTGGCTGGGCACAGTGGGTCACGCCTGTAATCCCAGTATGTTGGGAGGCCGAGGCGGGTGGATCACTTGAGGTCAGGAGTTCGAGACCAGCCTGGCCAATATGGTGAAGCCCCGTCTCTATTAAAAATACAAAAATTATCCTGGCATGGTGGCTCACACCTGTAATCCCAACTACTCTGGAAGCAAAGAATCGCTTGAACCCGGGAAGCGGAAGTTGCAGTGAGCCGAGATTGCGCCACTGCACTCCAGCCTGAGTGTCACAGTGAGACTCTGTCTCAAAATAAACAAATAAATAAATGAATAAATCATGAGTTGTTTACTTCTGGGATTTTCCATTTAATATTACTAACCGTGGTTGACCAGGGGCAACAGAAGCCGTGGATAATGGGGGCTATTGTACACAAAAATTACCATGATAGAGTTTTACGCAGTACAAATGAAAAACAAAATAACACAATTCCATTTACACGTAGTTTTATGTAGAAAGTCTTTAAATAATTGTGACTAGAATTAAATACAGTAGATTACTATTAGTAATTATTTGTGATGTGACAGATGTGTTACTATATACTTAGTTTATCACTTTCTCTTCCTAGACCCACAAGAAGTTATTTCTCAGCCTTTCTTGCAGTTTCCATGTACTTGGGCCCTACACAAGATGTGGGATGAAAGCAGTGAAAGACATTTCCACTACTGGTCCTCTTAAAAATTCTAATACAAACTTCCAGTAATGACCTTGGAGACCCTATGTTCCAGATTGAGAAGTTAAAAGATAGACAAGGACTACATAGCCTACATCAAGTTTTGGGTGAGTGAGAAATAAATATTGATTATGTTAAGACATTGATTAATATATCTTAGAAGTAGGATAATGAGAGTATTTATTTCCTGTGTTATATATTATTAAATTCCATGTTGTAACAAACAAACCCACAAACCACAGTGACTGTATTGTTCCACCATACAGTGTATTTTTTATTATGGTTAACAAAACATATAACGTGAGATCTACCCATTTAGCAAAATTTTAAGGTTACAGTACCATACTGTTAGCTATAAGCACAGTTTTACAACATATCCCTAGAACTATTTTATCTTGCGTGACTGAAATTTTATACCCATTGAAGAGCAAATCCCTATTTCCCTCTCCTCCCAGTCCCTGGCAACCACTGTCCTCCTTTCTGCTTCTGTGAGCTTGATTACTTTAGATATCTCATAGAAAATTTAGTATATGCATATAACAGTATACTAGTCAGTCATAAAAGAAGAAAACCTGTCACATGCAACAACACGCATGAATCTTGAGGATGCTATGCTAAGTGAAATAAGCCAGTGCATTTTTTAAAAAAAACTTTCTGTTGGATCTCTGTAGATGAAAGCCCCAAAAAATACACCTAAAAGTTATTTGTTTCCATTTATATGTATATTCATCCTATATTTGTTATTTTATTTATCTATTCTTTGAAATACTTATATTTTATTTTTCACTAAATTGTACAGATTCTGCCTCTAACATTACTTATCACTGTTGAATCTTTCTCTCCTCTGCATTTCAATCTCTACCATTTTTGTTGAGCTTCTAATCTTCTATTGTCTGAACTTATGCAAAAGCCTTGTTCCCAGTTTCTGTCTGTGCACATGCATCACCTATAACTGAGACCAGATTGATTACTATGGAAAGCAAATCAGCTTATGTCACCTATTCGTTTAAAGAGTTTATTTGACTCCCAAGTTTTCATAGTATATTTTAAAAATCTTCATAATTTATTCTCAGTCTACTTTTGTGCCTTCATCTCAATACCAAGTTTAAATGTCACTGTTTCTTTCAAGTCTTTTCTCATTAACAAAAATAATTATTTTCGTTCTTTCTAACTGCATATAAACTATAGCTTTACCATAGAGTTTGTAATATTGTTATAATTATTTTTCTTTCTGCCGGTTTATTGAATGGAAACAATGAAAGTGTCTTATTTATCAGTTTACTAGTTACAGTGTAGGCACTTAGGTATTAAAAAGTGTGTGCTGTTTACCTATGTAACAAACCTGCACATCCTGCACATGTACCCTGGAACTTAAAATAAAAGTTGATGAAAAATAAAATAAAATATTCTTATGGCAAGTAAAAAAAAAGTGTGTGTTAGACAAGTCGTTGAATTCTTCATTCACTCTAGAAGTTCCCTTTTTATTTTGAAATAAATTCAAGGATGTTCTAGTGTTTTACCACCAGCCCCATTATTAATAAATTTTGTAATGCAGTGTGTCATATTAGTTATTTGCTTTGACTAAGTGAATATGTTACAGAATTCTTATTCATTGAGTTAAATTTAATTTATAGTTTAACTGTGCCTATGACAATGTCTTATTAAAACTTACATAATGTAAAAGAAAAAACCTAGGTTTGTACTTTCTTGACCAAGAAAACTAAAACGTGCATTTATAAGCATAATGTTGAACTATTTTTATTGGAAAAAATAAAATCGTATATATCTTACAAGTAGTGAAACAAGGTTAATTCATTCTTATCTGCCATACTGTCCCCCTCACAATTTATTACTCATAAGGCATTTATATCATTTGCTTCCCTGTAATTTCTCTACTTGACAACATATAATAATAACAACTATAATAAAATTATCTGTTTCCATACTAAGGTATATTAACTTCTACCTTCCATGTTCTGTGGAATCTCATGCCAAAGGCTTTTTTGAGCAATTGGGTCTTGACTGCTGCAGCTTGATGATAGATTCAACACGATCTAATGAAGAATGACAGCTGGAAATCAGAGACAGTGTGCAATATAGAAACCATCTTTTTCTCAATGTCACCATGAATTATTTATGTAACTCAAAATATTTTATTTCACGTTCAAAATAAATAAATCTGCTTTAAAAACAAGTTTAATAAGCTTATTGTATATTGTAGTTATCTGACACATTTGGGTATTTATTTACGTGTGTAATTATCATGAAAATCTGAGAGACGATTTATTTTCTAGAAATTAAGCCCACTGCAATGAAATCTCCTTTTAGGTGTTCTAATAGTTTTCCTTATAAACATCTTATTACCTTGCATTGATATGTTATATCAAATTTTGAAATGGGCATCATCTTCTAATTTTATTGGAGCACTAAATACTCTAGCCACTGAAAACAATTTATGAGAGGATTTCTTTTAAAATTCTGTAAGGCTGATGCATCTAATTATCTCAGCTTCTTTCTTTTAAAAATGTATTTGACACAAAGAGAAAAAATGAATAAAAATGTATATGAAAGACAAAGACAGGTGTCATATTTTCTTTACTCAGAAAAAATAACTTAAAATGCAAGGCAATATCAGTTAATTTAGAGAAAAGGAAGGATGAATTTAGTCAATAATTAGCTATTTTGCCTAATGTCTTTCTTATCATTGTTTAAGGCAATATTTACCTCTGCCTTTAGCAATCTTAGTTTCAGGAAAAAAGAGAGATACCTTTACATTTATGAAAAATATAAATTCCAATCCATTTCAAGAAGCTAAATATATGATTATCCCTCACAGGTATACATTAAAAATTTGAAATTCTGACAATTAAAAATAAATATTAGCTACATGTCTTACGTTTTGTCGGTCTGAATATTTATGATATGATTTTTTTAATCCAATATGCTTGTAATAAAATTGTCCATTATGTGTAATTCGGGGAACCTAAGACTTCCACTGTATTTTTCATTCTTGTTCTTTTTGGAAATGACTGGATAAAGCCTTCACATTACCCAAAGCTCTCTGGTTACACATAGCCCTGACAGTGAGATATCGACTTCGTCTCTCCTGTAATTCATCTGTTGTAGTCTCAGGCACAGTTTCCATCATGTTTTTGCTGCCTTCTTTGGGAGGCTTAATGCTGTTCCTGGAGTCAGTGGCTGATTGTTCCACCATGGCCTTAGGAATGGAACATTGACTTTTCTTTGCTATTTTCTACAAGTTTGGGGTGGGATAAATTGCAGTTACTAAAAGTAGTCATTGTTGGCCAGGCTCAGTGGCTCACGCCTGTAATCCTAGCACTTTGGGATGGCGAGGTGGGCGGATCACTTGAGGTCAGAAGTTCCAGAACAGTCTGGCCAACTTGGTGAAACCCCATCTCTGCTAAAAATACAAAAAAAAAGAAAAAGAAAAAGAAAAATACTCAAGCATGGTGGTGCATGCCTGTAATCCCAGCTACTTGGAAGGCTGAGGCAGGAGAATCGCTGGAACTTGGGAGACCGAGGTTGCAGTGAGCTAGGATTGCGCCATTGCACTCTAGTCTGGGCAACAGAACGAGACCCCATCCGAAAAAAAAAAAAGAAAAGAAAAGAAAAATGTAGTCATTCTTGCAAACTATACACCAAATAAAAACTAAAAGCCTTTTCTCAGTCTTCCTGTGCTTAATACCATACCTCCACGTGTCAGGGAGCAACTCACTGACCTCAATCCCATCCGACCATCAATGATCTCCAGGGAATTTCTTAATTCCCATCCCAGTATCAACTGGGTATTTGGTCTTAAAATAAAGAGTTTTCTTTTCCTTCCCCAAGATTAGTGGGCATAACAAGATTGACCCATTAAAGCAGACTCTTCCAGAAGTAATGAACAGAATTCGTAAAGAAAAGCCAATGTTTTCACTTTTAAAAGCTAATCTTTTTATTTACTAAAAATGAATTAGTTTTTTCTTTTGGCTTCAGAAGAATAATGCATATAACTCATGTTTACAAAATTGCTTATAGTAGTTTTACTTTGGTAATTATCACAATATAGAAGTAAACATAATGCTAAAGTTACAAAGGCTAGGCCTAGCGTGGTGGCTCACGCCTGTAATTCCAACACTTTGGGAGGCTGAGGCAGGCAGATCATTTGAGGTCAGGAGTTCAAGACCAGGCTGGCCTACATGGCGAAAATCCCATCTCTACTAAAAATACAAAAATTAGCCAGGCATGGTGGCAGGCACCTGTAGTCCCAGCTACTAGGGAGGCTGAGGCAGGAGAATTGCTTGAACCCGGGAGACGGAGGTTGCAGTGAGCTGAGATCATGCCCCTTCTACTCCAGCCTGGATGACTGAGCCAGACTTTGTCACAACAACAACAACAACAACAATGTAACAAAGGCTAATCACCAATTAAAATAACATTGTGATAAAAGACTCTTTAAGATTATTTTTGACTTGAACCATATTGAAAATGATGTTGACTCTGTCTGAAGACTTTTGAGGACAAAGCTCATTTTATAACACATATTTTAATTGCATTGCCTGGCATGATGCTGTGTGTCTGCTCAGTCCTGTTCTCAGCCCCCCTTCTGAAAAAAAAAATTCTTTTTGGACTACATAGAACTGGCTATGATTGTAAACCGTATCACTCAATCTGAATTTCTAGCTTCTCTTTCTTTTAATATCTGCTGTATAAAATGGTGACAAAATATTTCGTAGTCATTTATTATGTGTTGAATGGCATTCCTTCCGAAAAAAAGATATGCCTAACTCCTAACACCTGGTACCTGTGAATGTAATCTTATTTGAAAATAGGATCTTTGCAGATACTCTTCTTCAGATAAGATCATCTTGGATTGATGGCCTCTAAATTCAAAATGAGATCCTTATATGAGAACACAGTGGGATGTTTGAGACATATACATACAGAAGAGTGAGACAGAGTGGAAGATCATGTGAGGACAGTGGCAGAGATTAGTTACTCAGCTACAAGCCAAGGAACACCAAGGAATGCCAGCAGCAACCAGAAGCTAGGAAAGAGTCGAGGAACCTTGCCTTTTAGAGCCTGCAGAGGAACCAACCTGCCAATGCCTTGATGTTAGACTTCCAGCTTCCAGAAGTGTGAGAGAATAAATTTTTGTTGTTAGAAGCTACCATGTTTTGGCAATTTGTTACAACAGTCCTGGGAAACGACAGGTAATAAAACCTCATTCTCTGTTAAGTCTACACCATCACTCTTGGTATTTAATTTTGCTCTTACAACCTAAACTTTCATCTCCATATAGCTAAATGCCACTTGTGTATCTATATCTGAATCCATTTGAGTAGTACTACAATCCTACCAAACTCAACTTGCCCAGCACTCCCTTTAACTCTCTCTCATCATTTTACATTTATTTCCATTATAATGTTTTTGTTAAAATAGTATAATATGTATCTTATTTGAAGGGAGAGGAGGGTCAGGGGAAGAAAGAAGGAGCTATAGTATGTACTTTTAGCAAATTGTTTAAAACCCAGAATTACTTTTCTCTAATCCTGTTATCAAATTGTTCATCAATTCTGGTCAGTTCTGTCTCCTGAGGGTTTCAAATTGCCAATCCTGTCTATCACCACAAACGGAATGAATGTTTGGATTTCCAATATATCTTGAAAGGGCGTTTATAACTGCTTGAATTTAAATTAACTTTCAGATTTTAAAATTATCTTAAAGGCTTCTGTAAGTAGTTACAGAACTTTGATTTAGTTTTTCTTTTTTTTTTCTTTTAGGTTTCCTTTTCCTTTGAAATTTATTGTGATATTTGGTGTACAGACAGTTCTAACTTGTTTTTTCCATATTGTACGCCATTTGCCCCAGCACTGGTTTTAAATAGAGTTGTTTTCCTAAAAAATTTGGAATGCCACATTTAATATATGCTGTATTTTTATGCACTTATTCTAGTTATTACTAATTATCATTATGAATTTTGTTGAGACATTGCTTTAACCTACTCATATCAATATGTAATGTCATTCTCAAATAATGGTTATTTTCTAAAAGTCATAAAATATTTTTATTTCTCCTTTGACTAAAATGTAACTAATAGTTGGATTTTTTGTTTGGTTTTGCTTTGCTTTGTTTCAAACTTGTATTTTTCTTTGACGTTCCAGGTATAATAATTTTTGTATTCCAAGTACAAGCATTTAGATATTTTAATCAAAATAGTTTATTGCCATATAGTCAGAGAATTCTATTTTCATAAATACAGTATTTGCAAAAAAGATTTTCTTTATAATTGAATATTTGTTAAATTTTTGAGAATATTTCCTATGCATTTGAGAACAGGTCTATTTTCTATTGTTAGATCTGGAGTTTGATATATAAGAACAGTTTCATTAACTTTTCTTTGTAAGTTCTATATACATACTGACTAAATATTATGATTGTATATGACTTGGACTGAGAGAGATAGGAAGCTTTATATAATTTAACATTTGTCTGTCTTCTTGAATCTACTCAAATTTTTGCTTTATGAAAATCGGTGAGTTATTTAGTGCATAATTATTAATAACTGTTAAATGTTTCTTATGAAAGTCACCTTTTGCCTTATAAAATAGTCTTCATTTTCATAGGTTCTTTGGCTTGATTATACCTTGTTTGGTATATGAAAATATTGACCCCATTTGCATTCTCCTGTTGTAACCTTGTACGTCGTTTTTGTAACCTTTCTAGTTGTAGTTTCAGATGTACCACTATTATACAGAATAGATTTCACTTCATTGATCAACCTAAAATATTATAAGCTAGTAAGTTAAGCTTTTAAATTTATTTATATGAAAGTTATATTTGGAATCAATGAGGTGATATGGTTTTATGCTTATGTGTATGTATATGAGGTATATGTGTATATATATAGAGAGAGAGAGAGCACATATATATGTATTCAAGTGATCAAGGTATTATTTCGTTAGTTTTCTTCTTCTTTGTTATATTTAGGAAAGTAGTTTCCTCTTTTGTGATACCATTTTTTTCTTTCTATAAAGATAACCTGAAACATCTGCTACCCATCCTCGTTTCCCACATATTAAAGAGTGATATCTGTGTTTATTTCTCTTTACATGCAGGAAGCTGTTAGCAAACTTATTATAATTTTATATAACCTTATTTTTCTTTCCTCGTTTTTAAATCCTTCTAATTTTTATTTTAGACTACACATCATCTGTATACTATATTGACTTTTTTATTCCCATCATTAACATTTCTATTTAAATGTATCCTTATCCACCCCTAGACATTATGTCAAAGCTTCTCCTATCATTTCCTGTGCACATGAGCTCATTACTTAGACTTCCCAGAAGTGCTCATGGAAATAGTACACCCTTAATTGCTGCATGTTTAAAATTATTTGTCTGTGAACTTTATTCCTGTAATTCTGTTTGACTAGATATTAATCTGTGTCTCCCTGTATTTTCTTTAGTATGTTTGCTTCATTGTCTGCAGATATCAATTGTCTATATGTCTGATGTTAATCTGCTTTTTGCTTTTTATTTTCTTTTAAATACTACATTTTTGCCTGAATGCCTCCTCTTTTTTCTTCCTTTTTTGTTTAAATTTTGAGTAATTTTACTGGATTATATATCAGTGACTTCTATTCTTGATTAGTTTTTCTAATTCACCACTGTGCAATTTCAGTATTTATGTTTGTGTTCTTTAAGGAAGTTTTCTAGAACTGTATATTTCAGAGTTCATTCTGCTTTATTTGGTTTTCTTTATTTAAATTCCGATTAAACATACATTTTTATATCTTGCTCATATTCTATGTAAGTTTTGGATCTTTTTTATTTTATTAAACTTTGATTTGATTGTTTGTTTTCATTTTCCCTCTTTATATTCTCTCTTTAGTCTCGATTTTTCTTATTATTCATTTCACGATGATATTAGTTCGTTTTTTGTAAGTTGGTTGTCAGTTCTGAAACAAGTTTTTTCCATTAATTTCAAAATATTATCTAAGCTCTAACAATTCAGTTTCCAAATCCTCCTCCTTTTTGGTTTTCTCATATCTAATGTTTGCTGTCTTTCATTCATGCTTTTATGTGTATGTCTAGTATTCCATTCAGAATGCAGAACCTCAGTTGTGTAGGTGAGTGTTTTTAGTGACTTGTTAGGTTATTATAATATAATCATCTTAGCTCTCTTCACTTCTCTCTTATTTTCAACAGAGAAGATGAAGTCAATGTGAACCTACTTTGGTGACTACATAGCTAAAACCACTCATATTCTAAACTTTGTAAGATTATCTTTTACAGTGTATTTTTTAAAAATTTTGAGGGTGGTCTGTATTCTATTGTTTTGTTGTTGCTGCTTGCCTATTTTCAATATATGTTTACGTGGGAGCATTTGAAGAGATTTGAATAACACATCCTTATTATAATTTTATTCCGGTTAGAAGTCTCCCTCCCTAAGTATAAAAATTAAATTTAAAAATTGATGTTACTAGGTTCAGTTTCTTATTTGAATATCTTAAGTTAATTTTAAGAATGTTCAATTTACACAATATCAGAAAGTCTATATTCTGTTATTTATGTATTTATTTTCTTTAAATTATTAAAAATGATGACCATCATAAGATAATTATCATGGCCCATGATTATGTTATTAACTTAATAACTTCTGAAGTGATGTTTTGTACATACATTTATAAAAGAGGAAATCTGTATTCCTGAACCACAGGCATTGATATTATAACAATCATTTATACCCATAACAAAAATTTATTTTTTGTAAGAAACATGCTCAGCCCATATATACAAGTTGAACTGTACCTTTTAATATTAATACATATTGGAAGCTGACAATTTCAAATAATTAAACAGTAAATCATAAACACACACACAGGTAATACACAAAGAATGGGTCATTGGCTATTTTTATAAGAACTCTCACGAGATCATTACCCAGTCTTAAAAGACATTTAGTTTACAACATTATGCCAATGATAACAATTGAACTTATTTATTTATATTTTAAAGTATATTATTACACTGCTAAAATTAGTTATTTAAATGATTTCTATTTAAAGTCCGGATTTATATTCATTTTGACATTTACTTTTTGGGGACATTTTTATTTCTTTTTTATGATTTGGTTTTAAAGTGGTAGTCTTTTTCTTCCATATTGTTTTATCTAGTCTTACTCTGGAAACTGTATAACATTAATAATACTGCTTTCACTGTTCCTCAGAATGTATTTTCTGTTTATACAGTTCTTATCTTTTTCCTCTGACTTCTTTTCTGCATTCTTGACCATTCCTATACATTAGCTTGTGATAAAATCCCACCTAGACCTTTTGCCTAAATTCACACCTGATTCTCCAGGAACCTATCAGATAGCTGTAGTAGTTTATCTAATTAAATATTCCCCCTCAAACTACCATACTGAAAATTGAACTCAATACCTTATTCAACAGGCTGCCCTCTTTCTTATGAACTCATTTTTACTCATTCAAGCGATTTAAGTCAGAAGCTTGCAATTCATTTTTATCACTCTCATATGTATTCATTCCTATAATTATGGTAATTTTAATACCCACATATGGAAATCTTTGAAAGTCATCTTCACTCATTTCCTACATTTTGCAAAAACCATAATTCAGTCCCTCATAATTGCTTTCTTGGATTATCACAACAGTGCTCTTACCTGATCTTCTACCTGTCTGCAGTATTAATCTTCTCTAATCAATTCTTCACATTGCCAACAGTGCGCACTTTTAAAACTTCAGATTATATTGCTCCTCAACTTAAAACTGTCTTATTGTCTCTCACTGCTCTCTTTACAGTATCCACAATTCTGCATATGACTGACCTGACTCTTTAGAATGTTATGGCTGCTTCCAGCCTCATTTCTGTCAATCTTCCCTTTCCATGCCCTATGCAAAATAAAATCACAATGAAAAACATTCACTTTCAGAAAGAGTATCATGTTTATTGTTGCCTCTAGGTCATTTTTTTTCTGCTGAATCTTCTTCAAATACCCCAAATGTGAATAATTCTTAGGTTTCTTTATGTGTTAGCTTTAACAACATCTTCCATGAGAATACTACTTTAACCACAAGTCTGTGTTATCTGCCCTCTGTATTTACAGTATACTAATACTCAGCACACAACTTTTTCATTTTTTTCTTTTCTTGTATCCCTTAATTGTTCATAAAGTTATTTATGTACCTGCACATTTTTATATCCCCAGTGACTAGCACAATGCCTGGACTAGCACAATAGGCACTTGACAAATAATATTTTCAATAAATTAACAACACCCTTGGAGATAATAATTTCACACTAACAATGGAATTCACTTCCTCCCACTTATCATCATTCAGTAAGTGAGAGAAATATGATTATCCAAAATAACACATAAATAGAATTAGAAAATACTAGAACTGGTAAGAGTGAAATGCTAAACCAATAAGAGTGATTATATCTCTGAAGAAAGTTGGATAAAAGAATATGAAAGTAAAATAGATTTTAAGTTTTTACTGTATTTAAAGAAGTTATTATTAGAAAATATTTTATGTAATATTTAAAATACAAAAGTGGAAGAAACTCTAAATGTGATACACTGAGTCACCTGACTAGATGCAAAACTATTTAATGCTGGGTTCCTATTTAATATGCTCATTTTTCCAGTCTGAAGGCCAAAGAAAACAGGCAAAAGCTTATTTTTCAGGGTTCTTAAAAAAACTCATGTGGTCTCCATGGTCAGGCATGTGTTATTGCTGAAGCTAAATGTATCTGGAAACACAGATGTTGAACTGAATTTATACTCTGCTGTAGCTTCCTGTTTTGTGGTAGTCTTGTGTCCTTTGGTTGATTTGAGCATCCACTTACTCAAAAAAGGCTTGTCCTGGCACAGAAATAACATTTCAATTTAAAGGAGGAAATGGACTAGATAGTCTCAATTTCATTCCTTTGGACAAGTCATGTTTCTTCAATTACTCTCTGTATCCTGGTCTCCTTTTTTCATTTAAACTCTATGAATATGAGTAAAAGAAAAAAAAAATTGACAAGATAAAAAAATAGTAACGTGGAAAAAGAGAATGAATGAACAAGAAAGAGTAGAAAAAGAGATACAAAATGTTTTAAAGAAAGAAAAAACGCAAGTCAATAAAAGAAACAGATTATCCAAACACATGCAAAACACACGCACAACCAGACTACTACCATGACTACTGTCTCCCCAAATTCCCAATTAACCTATATTAGTGACAGCCATAAAACATCAGATCTTGATATACAGAATTGAAGTACTGTGATTTTTATTTTTCATTTTACATGTGCATGGAACATATATTGAAGTAGACCGTATCTCACACTCTGAGCCATAAAACAAACCTCAAAAAATTCATAGTAAGTCATATCATACACAGTGTATTCTGTGACCTGTGATCACAGTGGAACAATACTAGAAATCAGTAACAGTAAAATAATTCAAAAATTTCCAAAGACTATGCTGAGACCAGCTCAGTCGGGGAGACCCTAAACCAGCGGCACTAGAGGAATTAAAGACACACACACAGAAACATAGAGGTGTGGAGTGGGAAAATCAGGGGTCTCACAGCCTTCAGAGCTGAGAGCCTCGAACAGAGATTTATCCACGTGTTTATTAACAGCAAGCCAGTGATAAGCATTGTTTCTACAGATGATAGATTAACTAAAAGTATTCCTTAAGGGAAACAAAAAGATGGGCCAAAATAAAGGGATGGGTTTGGCTAGTTACCTGCAGCAGGAGGATGTCCTTAAGGCACAGATCACTCATGCTATGGTTTGCAGTTTAAGAATGCCTTTAAGCGGTTTTCTGCCCTGGGTGGGCCAGGTGTTCCTTGCTCTCATTCCGGTAAACCCAAAACCTTCTAGCGTGGGTGTCATGGTCACATGAACAGGTCACAGTGCTGCAGAGATTTTGTTTATGGCCAGTTTAGGGGCCAATTTATGGCCAGATTTTGGGTATCCTGTTCCCAACAGACTAAATACATAGTTCTACATAATCTAAGGGTCAAAGAGAAAGTCCTAAGTAAAATTCAAAAATACAATGAACTAAATCAAAATGAATATATCAAAATTGATGGAACATATCTAAATAATTTCTACAAGGGAATACTATAAAAATAAATGCTTTCATTAAGAAAGGGAAAGTCTCAAATCAGTAACCTAAGATCAGAAATCATGGACATTTAAAGCAGAAAATCAAGAAAAGTAAATGTTAATGGCTGGCTATTTGAAAAAAATCACCACAGTTTTCACACTTCTGGCAAAACTAACAAAGAAAAAGAGAGAAGGCACAATTTACTTGTATCAGGAAAGAAAAAGTAGATGTCACTATAGACCCTGCAAATACCAAAAGGACAACTCTACACACATAAATTTGATAATGTAGATAACATGGACAAATTCTTCAAATGACACTAATTACTAAATTTATCAAATATGCAATAGATAATTTGAGTAGCCTTAAAACTCTAAAGGAAATTGAATTCCTGTTAAAAATCTGTTGAAAAGAAATCTTTAGGTCCTGATTGTTTCACTGGTGAATTCTGCTAAATATTTAAATAAGAATTAACATCAATTCTACAAAATTTCTTCCACAAAATATGAGAAGGAAGCATTTCCCAATTTGCTATTTGAAATTGGTATTACCCCAATATAAAAACCAACAAGCACAAAATAAAAACAAAGAAAAAAACTACGGGCCAATTACCAATATAGACAAAAAAAATCATTAAAAAATATTTTCTATTTAAATATAATTATATTAGTCTAATTAGGGTTAATTGCACTAACGCAAGGTTTGTTCGATATTCCAAAATTAATCAATGTAATCCACAATATAAATAGGCTTAGGAAGGCAAATGATATAATCATATCAATTGAGAACAAAACTGTCAAAGTCTATACCATTTTAGATAAAGACTATCAGAAACATAAACAGAATAACTTTCTCAAGTTACTAAAATTACCTACAAGTACCTACAGCCAATATTATACTTAGTGATGAAAGACACAGTGCTTTACCCTTAAGATTTGGAATAAGATAAGGATGTCTGCAACGTGTGGCATATTTGGGGTGATGGAATTTTCCTGAAACTTGACTATAGCAATATCATTGTCCCAACAATATTATTGGAGAACACTTGGCAAAGGATACACATGATTTGAATGAATTATTTTTACATGTGTATGTGAATCTGCAATTAAAACAAAAAGCTTAATTAAATATTGACATGAATCAAATTTCTAATTTTGGATTAATCTACCATTTCCAATTATAATTTCAATAACTAAAACTCAAGCAAATCAAGATCAAAATGTCAATAAATCTAAAATTGAAATAAACTTACATATTTTCTAAATTATGGGACAGAAGAAGAAAAAACAAAATTATTTTCTAAGCCAAAGTTCAGACGAATATTTATTTTGTTGAATCTCTGTATTGGAATGTATTTTTATATTTACACAATAAATAAATTTTTAAAATACACAACTGATCAACTTCCTCTAAGCTGTACTCCAGCGTAAAGACAAACACATGTTATAACTTTCCAGTATTTTGTAATTGAACACTTGATTGTGAATTACAAAGTTACTCATGAACCTGTGAATGCGTAAAGTGTTGAAAAGCCTTTTTTCTACCATAATTTAATAAAATATAGACATGTTTTTCTTATATTTTCTCCTCTCATCATTTCAAATATTAAGCCAGACCCATTTGTCCTTCCCTTATTCAAAGTTTATTTTTCTGGGATAAAACATGAAAACATTAAAAGTAGCTGGTTCTTCTTTTCTTTTTAGAAAATCTGAGTCTTAATGGTTGGGTTTTTGTAGAAAAATTACTTTGAAACAATAATGTGCACAAATTATAAATATACGGCTCAACACTTTAAAAAATACAATGTATATTGAGAAAAAAATACCGATGATATTCTACAACCAAGCTGCTGCCTTCATAATTGCCTTCCATCTCTAGCTGCCTCCACACAAGGATAACCTCTATTATAATTTATTTTACTATTGAATAATTTTATCATTTTGAAATGTATACAAATGAGATCATGTTACTGAATTATTTCACTCAACAACATGTTTGTAAGATTCCTTCGTATTTTGTGTCCAATGGTGCATGATCAGTCCTCATTTCTCGAAAGTGTTCTGTGGTACAATATAAGACAATTTCTGTATGTTCTTGATGGAGATTTAAGTAATTTTCCATTTTAGGTCATTACAGGTAAGTCTGTTACAATTATTCCAGTTTCTTTTTTGTTGCTGCTGTTGTTGAACATATGTGTGCCTATCTGTTGAGTATATGCTTCGGGGGGAAGAAATGTCTGATTTATAGAAAGTATGTACATTGGCCTATAGTAGATATGACTCAACAATTTTCAGAAGTAGCTATACCAATTAATATTCTCACTATTAGTGTATGAGAGTTCTGGTTGCTCCATGTGGTCACCAACATTCTGTATTTTCCTTCTGTTTCATTTTAGGCATTCTCGTAGGTATGAAGAAGCACTCATTTTTTTCTTTCCTTAATTCTCATTTAAAAGAATGTAAACAAAACCCACGTTTAATCAGTTATTCAGTAATACATTTGAAACTTGTATTAGTGTGTATATATCTCCATATGTTCGTAAAAAGTAAAAAAAGTCATAAAATTATATTTCATCTCCTAAAATTACTCTGAAGACTATTAAAAGATATTATTGTTCTTTTTACCATCTTTCATTCTCTGATAAGTCACAAGAACAAAGATATTGAGATAAATAGTATTCAAACAGTTATTTCGGATTAATTTATGGGAGTCCTTGAGAAGGTAGTTAAGAAAATCATTGAACTATGTAAGAGAACTTTGGAAATTTTATCAAGGGTTATCAGTTTTGCTGACCTCAAATTTTGTTTGTTTTTAATTTATCTGTAGTACAGAAGCAATAGCTACCAGATTGCAAGTCTTCCTGTGTTTGAAAAAAGAAAGTATTTACTGAGTGGTGTTAACAATACCAATAATATAATCTTGCAAGGTACAACTGAACTTACAATTCATGAGCCAACACTTACTTCCACTGAATTTTCCTCTCTTTGTTCTCTTGTAATATTGATGTTTCACAGAGAAATAATAATAATTAAAGTTTCAAAATTTTTCAAAAAATATTGTTTGATCTTAAATCCACAATATTATTTCCACTTTAATCATGAATTCTATGTATGACTTTATAAAAATACATTGTAGTCATTATTTTTTCTGTGTTTATTTGTAATTAACATATTTTAAACATTACAAATTATGACATTTAAAACATCTAAATAGAGTAATCATACAATAGTTTTTCCTAAGGCCGTGGATATCATTTGGCTCTGTGTCCCCACTCAAATCTCATCTTGAATTGTAATCACCATGATCCCCACATGTCCAGGGAGGGACAAGGTGAAAAGTGATTGGATCCTGGGGATGGTTTCCCCCATGTTGTTTTCATGATAGTGAGTGAGTTCTCAGGAGATCTGATAGTCTTATAAGGCAGTTTTTCCTGCTCTTGCTAGCTCTCTCTTTTCTGCCGCCATGTGAAGAAGGTCTTCACTTCCCCCTTTGCCTTCCGCCATAATTGTAAATTTCCTGAGGCCTCCCCAGCCATGCTGAACTGTGAGTCAACTAAACCTCATTTCCTTATAAATTACCCACTCTTGGGTATTTCTTTATAGCAATGTGAAAATACTCACCCAAACTTATATAGAGGTTTTAATCATTTTTATGCATTTATTTTTGTAAGTAATATTTTGTGTTTTCCCAGAGGCGTTAGGAAAGAATTTTCCAAATGTACTAAGTTAGAACATTACATTTGGACCCAATAACGACCTTGAATTGGAAAGATATTAAACTTAGAACAATAGTAAATAGTATTGTTATATTGATATTGTGGCTGTATGTTACAGGTAACATGAGAAAACAGACTAGGTTTAACTGGCCAAGAGTCATAAATGCAGATAGCTATATAGATATACAAAACAAAGTCATAGACTGTATATATTGCTATATAGTTACATATTTATAGTTATAATATAATTTTTTCTGCAATAGGGTTAATTTTATGGCATATAAACAAAAATTGTCATTAATATTGTCTTTCCAAATTTCCATGTAATATGTATATAATCATGCCCTTTATAATTTTAAAATTATTTTGTACATATTCATTTCATCTTTCTAACAAGAACCCAGAAAATCCTCAAAAAGTGATAATTAATTAATTAATTTATTTATTTGGCATCCTCATCAGCAAGCACAATGTTGAATGTATAGTAATTGTGTGAAAAATGTTGCTTCTCTGTACAAGTTCATATTTCATCAGGACCATCAAGTTATAGTGCCAAGCACTTCCCAATTTTAAAATGTATGAATCAATTCTTCATCTGGCTGAAGGATCCATTTCCTCTTGTTGTTTATATATCAAATAACTCTTATTTTAATGAAAACAGCTCAGTATTCATTAAATAGTAGTTGTTTAAATGAATACCTAAAAGCAGAACTACATTTCTAACTCAGGTCATACAATTATGTAACTTCAAATCAGTGCTAAAAATATTTATAAGACAGTGATAAATGTATGCTGAAGCAATTAGGTAACCTTTCAAGAAGGTATAAATTGGGCACTTAATAGAGCAATTATTTTAAAATGGAAGCATTTGCACTACATCCTTATTTTTAGAAGAGAAATAGTGGCGCCTTATTGCTTGTGTGACTCAGGAGATTGTACTAAAAATCTTAGATGAAACAGGGAAGAGTGGCAGAGAACTCCCAGTATCTTAGACATTTTTTTTCTTTTTTTTTGAAACAGAGTCTCACTCTCTCACCCAGGCTGGAGTGCAGTGGGTGTGGCTTGTCTCCCGGCAACATTCACCTCCCCTGCTCAAGTGATCCTCCTGCCTCAGCCTCCAAAGCAGCTGAGACCACAGGCTTGTACCACTACGTCAGGCTGATTTTTTGTATTTTTGTTAGAGACGGGGGTTTTGCTGGTCTTGACCTCCGGAGCTCAAGTGATTCTTCTGCCTTGGCCTCCCAACGTGCTGGGATTATAGGGGTGAGCCACCATGCCTGACCTTCAATATCCTAGACTTTAATCCATGCCTGGCCATGTGGGAATGTTCTATTTATGGTTTCTTGGTCATTTTTTGTGCTTTGTCTTGCAATGCGTTCACATCTATAAAAAAGTAGATTGGGGGCCGGGTGCAGTGGCTCACACCTGTAATCCCAGCACTTTGGGAGGCTGAGGCAGGAAGGTCAGCTGAGATCAGGAGTTCGAGACCAGCGTGACCAGCATAGAGAAACCCTGTCTCTACTAAAAATAAAAAATTAGCCAAGTGTGGTGGCACATGCCTGTAATTCCAGCTACTAGGGAGGCTGAGGCAGGAGAATCACTTGAACCCAGGAGGCGCAGGTTGCGGTGAGCAGAGATCGTGCCATTGCACTCCAGCCTGGGTAACAAGAGCAAAACTAAGCCTCAAAAAAAAAATTGATAAGAAGTTGATAAAGTTCTCTTTCTTTATTATTCAATTCAATATTCCACAAGTGATTCCTGAAGGCAATGGACAATTCAGAGATAGTTATTTCCATAGCTTTCTAATAACAACTCTCAAACAACTTCGAAATGCCAATAAATAACCTCTATCTGGAGATGAGCCTGCTTATGTCGATCATATATTTTCAAAGGAGAGTCCAGTCTAGTTACGTGAAGACAGTAAAGCATTAAAGTCAGCCACAAAAAAGTTCAATTCGTAGAATGTTAGCAAAAGTAGTGATTAATAAAACTGGAAATGTTCAAGAAATACATGCAAATTAGAAAATAAAATGTCAATATATTTTAAAATGTAATGAATTGCAATTACATAATTGTCTAATAATTGTAGAGTTGATGAAAATAATAATTAAAATACTTTTTTCAAGAATATTCCTTGATTTTTTGTTTTATACAATGGTATTGCACAGATGTTCTATTATTTTTTAAAGTCATTCTTAAAGAAATTTTTATGCTACACATAATTGCATGAGAACATTGCTATCATCTGCACTTGTCATACATTTAATATTTGATCCTAGATTATTAGTTTTAAAAGTCTTACGTTTTCCTTTTTTTTCTTTTTAATTATTGGCACAAGAATAACATTTGTCATATCTCTTCCAGAAGATTAGCTCTTTATATATTCAGGATGGATGCACTAGTCCTCCTATACTCTACAAAACAAAGTTTTTCGGGAGATGCAATTTTTCCGAAGAGTTCAACTGCACCAATTAATAAAGAAACAAACACATACTTTCTAACATGTTAATTGTATCCTTTGTATTTGTTGCTTAAATTTAGCTAGGTTATATGTCTTATATTTGCCAATTCACAAAGTTTCAGAAATTGTCTTCTAGTTAATTTTAAGTATTACTCAGTGCTACCTATTTTCTTTTTCATTTATAAAATCTTACTATTATAGCAAAGAACATAATAATCATCATAATAGAAACATTGTAGAAAATAAGCACGATAGTTATTATGAACCATAAATGTAACATAGGAATGTTTTTTATTTAAGGTAAAGAAAAATAAGAGATGGAAGACACTAAAAGGAGGCCAGCTTTGCGAAGAATAGAGAGGAGTCAGCACAAACTCCTGCAACTACTTCGCAAAAGTAAGCCTCATTCACAAATGTATTATCTGTTCAACACCAGTTTATACTCAAGATCACATGCAATTAATACTTTAGAAAACGATGAACAAATATCAGCATACTCTCAAACAATAGAGGTCAATGATATTTTAGTTTTGCTCAGCTGGATTGCAGCACTCTTCATGCAGCAGACAGAAGTATTTTCAGCAGAGGTGGATGTTGTTTCAACATCCTGGAGGATGAAAGGGGAAAGCTCTAGTTACCATCTGCCCTAATAGTCAAAGGCACTAAAATTGACAAAGGGTTCAACCACTTTCATTCATTTAGAATTGCTCCATCCAATATGGTAGCCACTAGCCACACAGAGTTCTTTAAATATGAATTAGCTAAAATTTTGAAAAGTGAAATTTTAGTTCCTTAGCTGTTACACTGGTCACTCTCCAAGTGCCCAAAGGCCGCTTGTGAGCATACAAATGTTTCTATCATTGCAGAATGATGTATAGGCCAAAGCTAATCCTGGGAATAACACCATGCCTGACATTTTAATCTTTTTAAAATCTTTAAAAGCATGACCTATATTTTGTCTGAACTTAATTAGATAAATTTTTCATTTTATTTTCATCTAAGGGAGAAAAGTTTCATTTAGATTTAGGGTATTAACTGGCTCATTTGACAAGGTACAGCAAGAACTGGCATAATTCACTGAAATGAAAGTGCTAATGGTTTGTATGAACACATCACAACTGGAAATAAAAAGGTTATTCACTTTTCATGGCAAACCTTGTCTTTTTCTCTATGGTTCATGGTCTAAGGCCATTTTTTAAGACACCTTGCTATTTCTTCAATACTATTTGGAAAAACCTTTATTATTGATAAAATATTGAGAATAAGTCTGCTTGTTTCATATAATTGAGTAGATTTATTCTAGAGAGTTAAATCATATATTTTAGATTTAGGTTTAACTTTTATGTTTTAGACCTTAAACTCAACCATACATATTATTAATTTCCATATTTCAAGTAATATCACTGCTGGTTCTCTGCCACAGATGGATGGTTCTTTCTTCTATTTTTGGTATTATCCAGGCCCTTTCTCTATAATCTCTTTTCACAATAATTATAAAATTTGCCCCTTTGTCCTTCACTGTCACCGAAAATAGAGAATTTTAAATTGAAATACAGACTTACTATGATACCTTTCTAAATATAATGCGTTGATTAGTGGTAAGGTCTGGAAAGGCCTCTGAATTTGGACTGAGCCACGCTAACAACTTTCTTGGTTCTCCAGCTTGCACATGGCCTATTATGAGATTTCTTAGCCTCTGAAATCAGATAAGCCAATTCTCCTAATAAATGTCTTCTCTTCACTTCTTCTTCTCTCTCTCTCTCTCTTTCTATATATATGTATACATATGTGTGTTTGTGTGTATATACATATGTGTATATACATATGTGTGTGTATATATGTGTGTATATACACACACATATATATGTTCATACACATATGTATACACACACACACACACACACACGTTTCCTATCAGTTCTGTTTCTCTGGAGAACCCTGACTAAATCAGAGTTCTTAATGGTTTTATTTCCTCTGGAGGATAATATATGTACATCTTATATATGTAATTTAAATTGCTACACAAGCTACTTTTAATGTTATATTTATCAAAAAGCATGTAAAGTCTAAGATTATATGGGCCACCATTTAATGTTTTCCAAAAGGCAATTTTGAATAAAGTGAAATTGATTTTTTAAGAATAAGCTGAAAAATTAAGGACACTTACAAAACTCTAAAAACAAAATTAAAATGCTACAATTTGATTAGAAATGATTTTTAAAAAATTTAAATGATGTCTTATGTATATCTTTTTCTGTATTGAATTCGTAGACCAAGTAAAGAAGACTTCCCCAATGATGTGGATGGGTCCCATCCAATCAGTGGAAGTCTTGAATAGAATAAAAAGGCTGACTTTCCTAGGTGTAAGAAGGAACTTCCTCCTACCTGAATGCATTGAGATGGGACATAGGTCTCTTCCTGCCTTTGGACTCAAACTGAAACTTTGGCTTTTATTTAGTGTCAAACCTGCCTGCCAGCTTTCACACTGGAGCTATGCCACCATCTCTCCTGAGTCTCCAGATTGCTGATTGCAGATCTTGGGATGTCTTTTCCCCTACAATCATACTAAACAATTCCTTATTTCATCTCCCCATCTCTTTCTCTCTCCTATTGGTTCTGTTTCTCTGGAAAACACTGACTAATATGATCACCATAACTGAACTCCAGATTAAAATTATGAGAGAAGTATGTAAAATGTATTTACTTTTAGTAAAACAATAACATTTCTACTTAAATTCTTTTTTTTGGGAAGAAAGTAGCTAAGTCTTGTTTTCCTGTAAAAGCATGTAAATAGACATTTTGACTCATTGCTGTTTTTTTCTTGTCTCAACCTTATTACTTAGAAAATATTGTATTTGTTTTACTTCTGAAAACATAAATGTCTTGTTTTACTTCTGATAACAAATGGGCAAATAATGGTCTACCTTCTCTTACTAGCAAATACAATTATTTAAATTTTTTTCCAAAAGAAACTAAATTAAGTAAATTTAGTCAGGGGACATACTTCAGAGCATATTTTTGGTTAATGCTAATTTTTAATTTTATGTTTGCCTTTTTATATAGGGCTATTTAGATTCCTATATTATTTTGTTTTTACATACATTTATTGCACAATTTTAATTTTAAATTTTACCTAACTACAACTGCATGTTTTAAACTCCTTGGTACATAATATTTTTCAAACAATATTACTTCTTAGTGAAAAGCTAAAAATGAAATTATTAGGTCAAAAATATTTTACTAATTTCATATGTGAAGGCTCCATTTTGATATATTAGTTAGGAAATAAAGTATATTTTTAAAGCATTCTTTTTAGGTATATTCCTATATTAGACTTTTTAAATTACAGAGTTAATTATCACAGAATTATAATATGCTTTAACATTTAATATTTGGATTTTTTTCTATTACTTCTGGAACAAATTACCAAAAATGTAGTATACTGTTTTAGTACATTATACCAGTATATTAGTATTAGTAAATCAGTAAAATTAATATAGTACTATTTTCTGTTCCTTTATTGTCCTGCCTAAGTGCCTTATAAGAACTTTGAGCCCAGAATTTTTATCTCAGGATTCTTTGACAAACTACTGTAATCGGCAGATTAACATAGTTTTTAATGGTCTCCATCTCCTGGGATTCCAGCCCTTGTCTAATACCCTCCCCATGTGTGTGAGCTGGATCTATTGGCTTGCTGCTATTGCATAGAATACAGCAAACATGATGAGATGTTGATTCTGTGATTAGGTGACAAAAGATGTGACTTCTGTCTTTGACTCTTTTCAATGGCTTTTTTTTTTTTTTGGCTTTGCACATTTTGATGAAGAAAGCTTCCATGCTGGAGAGGCTCACATTATATGGAATTCTGGACAACACCTGTCAAAGTACTGAATCTACCAACAAGCATGTGAGTGAGATTGATTATAACTTGTGACAGTCTCTGAATAGAAGACCCAGATAAGCCATGCCCAGATTCCTGCCCCGCAGAGACTTTGAGATAATAAAGGCTGTTTTTTTTTTTTTTTTTTTTGGTCATGAAGAATATGTTTCTTATCTTTTTTTTAAATTTTATTATTATACTTTATTTTGGGATAATTTGTTATGCAGGAATTGACGAATAATATAAATACTTTTGAAATGTAACTTTTTTATCTTAATAAGCATTTAACAAATAATTTGAAGATGGATAATCACAGATACCTCAATTTTTACCAACATAACCAGGACCCTTCTTGTAACTTTGACTAATAAATGATCTTTTGAACATTACCATTTTGTAACTGCATTTTAGACTATGATTTAGTTGAATCACCCAAAGTGTGTAATGTCTTTTAATGTGCACTGTCAATTCTGTTCTGCCATAATGACCTCACTTTCAGTTCTTAACTATATTCATCTCAGTCTTGTGGGGTGACTGTCTCAAGAAGAATGACTGGTAATACCAAGAACTTCTGTTGTTTCCATAAATAACAGCCAGATTACAGCCAGAACCTCAAGGCTGAGCACAACCGCTCATGTTTGGAATCCCAGCCCTTTGGGAGGCCTAGACCAGAGGATCACTTTGAGGACAGGAGTTTGAGACCAGATTGGGAAACAATGCAAGATTTTGTCTCTGAAAAAAAATAAAATAAAATAAGCTGGGCATGGTGTCACATGCCTTTAATCTTAGCTACTCAGAAGCTGAGCCTGGAGGATTGCTTGAGCCCAGCAGTTCAAGGTTACAGTAAGCTACCATAACACCACCACATCCCAGCCTGGGTGACAGAATGAGACACTGCCAAAAAAAAAAAAAGAAAAAAAAAAGCCAGACCTCAGGATTTCCATACATTTTGCAAAATTCCATGCAAACTGCATGCAAATTTTGGGCTTATACAAATTTTAAAATTTAAAATTCATGGATCCTGCCAGACATTCTCAAATATTAAGGACCAGAGCTTAAGAAGACTAAGAAATCAAAGCAAGGGGCTGGACACGGTGACTCACGCCTGCAATCCCAGCACTTTGAGAGGCCGAGGCAGGCGGATCACGAGGCCAGGAGTTTGAGACCAGCCTGGCCAACGTGGTGAAATCCCATCTCTACTAAAAATATAAAAATTAGTTGGTGTGGTGGCATGTGCCTGTAATGCCAGCTACTTGGGAGGCTGAGGCAGGAGAATTGCTTGAACCCAGAAGATGGAGGTTGCAGTGAGCCGAGATTGCGCCATTGCACTCCAGCCTGGGTGACAGAGAGGGACTCTTTCTCAAAATAAATAAATAAAAATAAATAAGAAATCAGAGCAATGTATATTTCATAAAGTCAGTGAGAACTTTCATATATTTTAGAGAAGCTTTTTATAAGATACAAACCAAAGGTCCATGTTTTAAAAGTTATTATTGATTTATTTATAGATATATTCAATAAATATATACTTGGTGACTAGTATGTATGCTATGCTAGCAAATCAAGATACAACTAGTATTGTAACCCAAACCCTAACTTTACCCACTTTAGTCTTTTTACCCTAACTGTCCCCTAACTGTTTTTACTGTATAATAGGTTAGCTATGTTAGTAAGCGTGGCAACACATCGCAGTGTAGGAAGTGCTATAAGAGGAACTCAAGGCCCAATGGGAATATCTAGGAAGTGCAGCCAATGTAGATTTCCACAAGAAAGCTAAACCTTAGATGATCCAAGAAAGATAAAAAGATGCTAAACCATAAAGTGGAAGAAAGAAGGCAAGTTATATGAACAGAGAAAATTTCAACTGCAAAGATGATAGAGTGTGTTAAAATAAAAGCACAGAAGGCAAAGATTTAGTGTAATTTCAACATATTTTGTATGGAGGGAGAAATTAGAAGTGACATGGAATCAGTAGGCAGAGAATACATTATGAAGGGTCTGTCATGTTTTTGAATTTAAATTTATTTTGTTTTACATTTCTAATAGAATCAAGGGAAAAGCTGAAAATCCCTAGTTTCTAATTGAATGTTTTAAGAATCCTCTTATTTCTTTTAATTAAAAAACGGTCATTCAATTGAAAATATACACATTCTACCTTTTATGCATTTTGCTTTTAAGATATTTGAATGATTTATTATAATTTTACAGGCATTTCTCTTTTTATTCACACATAATTATGATATGCCTTGTATTTGTCATTATAATAGTTTTAAAATTATCAGTTAATATTTTGTCCACTTTTATTTCATATAAAAAATAAACATAATTGTTCCTGAAAATACAATATCATACAATTTAAATGTTGAATAAATGAAAAATGTTCTCAAACTGGAAAGTTATAATAATTCAGACTGAAGCCCTGAGAGATTCAAGGCTTGAAATGGCTCTTTGAGAATGGTAAGCGAGGCTTCAATCTTAAAAATATAACTTTACTTACAAATCATAAAACATTAATTGCTGTTTACTATATTTGTTTTCCATTTTTTTCCTGACATAGAAAAATAAATTACCAGCTACCACAGTTTTACCATAGACCAGTCTAATCACCACATAAGATTTACACTCTCTCTTTGCTTTGTTAATTACAGGCAAAACCTATATTTGAATGTTTTTGAGAATTTAATTTGCACTTAAATCACAACACTTCAATTTATCTTATTCATTTTGAGTTGCAGCTCTTTAAATATTGAATCTGTTATAATATTGCAGAATAGCTCACCACACTAAGAAAATTGCATTCCCAGTTTCTTCCCCTTTCAAAACACTCGTATCTGCACAAGTTGTCAAGAATGGGCCAACTCCCTTGTTTCACCATATGCTTTTCTCTGTTGCAACAAGACTGAGATATGTATGAGGATAGGGACACAGAAGATGTCAATACATATTTTCAAAGAGTACATAAATGAGTGAGTAAATAAATTAGGATCATTTGATGAGGATAGCCATCAAATATGTTGAACACTGATACTCAGAATTATAAAAATAACAATCATCAAAGTAAAACCTTAAGCCTTTAGGTCATAGATCTCATGTTAATTAGTTTACCACACATCAGGATCTGACCTTCCTTTTGGAAGATACCAATGCTGCTTTTGTCAAATTTTGAGGGGCTGACTCATGCTTAAAACACACATAAAATGCAGTCTTATAGTATCATAAATAAATAAAATATATCATAGAGAATAGTAATTGGTTGAAATCGGTAGATTGTCTCCCTCTGATTACTCTATATGAGAAGTCAAATTATAATCAGAAACAGGTTGAAAGTATAAAGGGAGAAGGTCAAGCTACTAAAGACAAGGAGCCAGGGTTCCCTGATGGAAGCTAGAACCATTTAGAGGACAGGTAATGGTGTAGATGCTACCCATAGCCGAGGCAAAGTAGGAGGAACAACCTAGCTGTTACTCTTTGGGCACCGGCCAATCTCCTACACACTAGCTTTCATTGACTGAATCTGATCTGAAGTCAGTTGGCAAACGAACTTGAAGAAATATAATTTGCAGTAGTCAGCCCCTGAAAAACAGGGAATAACTAGGGGAAAGATGGGAAACATTCAGAGATAAAACAGGCAAAGGACCAAGAGTGGAATCTGAGGGTAGAGAACTTAACTGTATCTGCAAAAGAGACCAGAAAAAGAATAAAAACTTTGGAAAAATCATTAAAGTTCTCTTTAATCATTTTTTGGGCAGACTCTCACATATGTTTTCATTCAATACATCATGTTTTCAGTATTACCTTGTTTAAAAAATATACTGTGTGTATATTTATGTGTGTATACATATGTATATATATACATACATAAATATATATGTGCATATATATGTGTAAAATACACATTTTCCTTGCAATTAGTTCTTTGATCTATACAGTTTTAGAAGAGTGTCACATAATTTTTAAATATCTTCATGGTAGTTTCATGCTTCTTGAAGTTTTAGATATCTTATTAAAATTATTTATAATTTAATTGCTTGTGGTTAAAAATTTACTCTATGTCATGTTTATTTATTTAAAATTTTGAGACATTTTATGTCTCTGCAGATAACCTACTACGGGTAATGTTTCATAAATAAATAAATTCAAACTATGTAGTTGTTGGTAATATTATTCTATAAATGTCAATTAGCTAAAATTGATTGATCATGTTGAAATCTTCTATACTCTACTTATATTTTGTTTCCTTTTGTCAATTACTAACAGAGAAAGGTGTTAAAATTCCAGCTACATTTCAGTATATTATTTTATTTCTATCAAATTTTGCTTTATGTATTTTCAATTTCTGCCACTGGGTTCATAAAAATATTGATCTTTTATTTTTATTGGTGTTCCTCTTCATCCCACGAAATACTCTTTTTTCTTGATATCTACCTTATCTGACATTAATATAGTCACATGGACTTGGGTTTACTGTTTGCACGGTATAATCTTTCCAATCTTCTGCATTCTTCTTGGCTGTATCCTTATACTTAAGCTATTTTTCTTATATATGGAATATATAAAGCTTTTTTTTAAAAATCCAGTTTGAAAATATCTGATTTTTTTTTTTTTGAGAAGGAGTCTTGTCCTGTCTCCCAAACTGGAGTACGGTAGTGCGATCTCTGCTCACTCCATCTCCTCCTCCCAGGTTCAAGCGATTCTCCTGCCTCAGCCTCCTGAGTAGCTGGGATTACAGATGTCTGCCACCATGACCGGCTAATTTTTGTATTTTTAGTAGAGATGGGGTTTCACCATGTTAGCCAGGCTGGTCTCAAACTCCTGTCCTCGTGATCCACCCGCCTTGGTCTCCCAAAGTGCTAGGATTACTGGCATGAGCCACCATGCCTGGCTCAAAATCTCTACTTTGAATTGAATTGTTTAGTTATTTAATATTTACTGTGGCCAAGAAAATGGTTATTGTCATCTTATTTGTTTTTCAATGTGTTGTGCCTCTATTTTTGTGCCTTTTTAGTTTGTTTCTTTATTCCTACCTTCGTTTGGGTTAAATACTTTAAGCATTTAAATTTATATTCTCTGTAGACTTTTTTAAATATCAATTTGGCTTAACTTCTAAAGGTTACAAAACAATATGATATGCATACTTAACTGACCCCAGTCCTTGTTCAAAAATGTTTACCACTATAAGAAAGTAAAAACCTTTCAATGGTAAAATTCTACCCTACTTACTCCTGTATTTTTAGTTATCCTCTATTTTATATCTCCATGCTTTATAAATTCATGATGCATTTTGTTAAGTTTTCTTTAAATACTCCATAAATGTTAAGAAATTAGCAAATTTATAGTAAAATGCCCTTTTGTAGTCACCTATACGTTTACCTTTTCCCTTTCCAGCAGTCTTCATTTTCCCCTGTGTTTTGGGTTTCTTTTGGTATCATTTACCATCAATGCTTTTAATATTTTTTTCTAGTGCAAATCTGCTGAACATATAATTTTTCTCATTTTGTCTCTTTCTGGAAAGATTTTATATTCATTGTAAAATGATATATTTTTTAAAAATACAGAATTCTATTTGACTATTTTTCTAACAGCACTTTAAAGATAACAGGGAAACGGAATTACTAGGGGAAAGATGGGAAACATCTGCATTCTGTTGTTTCAGATGAAAAGCCAAATATCTCATTTCGATGTTTCTTTTTCCATATTCTGTAGGTGCTTTTAAGTTGTATACCTCAGTGTGGTTTTCTTTATATCAGTTCTATTTGGGAATTGCTGAACTTCTTCAATGTTTGGGAAATTCTCAGGTATTAGCTCATCTAATATGTCTTTACTCACCAGCTCTACTTCTTCCTGAAATCCAATTAGAACTATGTTTTTCCTTTTGCCACCAAACTATAAATCAGAGACACTTTTATTATTTTTTACCTTTGTGTTTCTGCATTAATTTTTATGGATCAGTATTTAAAGTAACTGGTAAGTTCTGCAGCTAACTTCAGTCCATAGTTAAACCCAATGAAAGGACATCTTAATTTTTGCCTTTCTGCTATAGAATATCTAAGTATTTCCTCTTCAGAGTTTCCAATGTTCTAGAAAATTCCCCAAAATGTTCACATAGTTTTCCCTTTTTATAGCAATAAATTCTAATAAATACATCATTATTATTCTAAAGTCCTTATGTAATAACTCCAATATCTGGATCCTTTGTGCATCTGCATCAATGACTACATTTTTGTCTTGTTTATATACTATTAATATATGTTCTTATTTTTCCTAATATAGTAGTTTATATTTTGTGATTGTATCCTGGATATATATACAAGAACAATGGAAAACTTGGCAAATAATATTTACACACTGAATATAATGTTCATTTCCTCATCAGGCCATTAGGATTGGGGTTCAGGCCATTAAGATTGGGGTTCAGTCCATCTGATGCAGTCCAATTTTTGTGCCCCTACCTATATGTGTCTGCCAAGAGACCTTTTCTGCTGCTTAGACCCCAACCTGCTCCTTCCAGAATCAGTAGACTCAGCCTTTTGTTTGCCACATGGTATCTTAGAAGGATGGACTTGTGTAACTAGTATTTTTCTATTAGTCATGTCTCTTTCAGTTGAAAATCACAGAAATTCAACTTAAATTGGTTTGGGTAGAAGAATAAAAAGAAAGATAGTTGATAGAAAAATAGAAAGGTAAATAGATGAATGGATAGTATCTATTAGCTCATAAAATTAAACTTCAGAATATAAAGTGACACTATTACGCCTCAGAGATATATTTAACAAGGAAGTCTAATGTCTTTAACAGCCTCATGTTTCTCCTGGGTTCTACCTTTGCCTCCATTCCCACCGCCTGTAAGTAAGACTCTCCCAAATATCACAATAGCCGTGGCTCCAAGGCTTCACATTCCCAATAGAATGAAAACAAAAGTAGCCCTTCAATCTTGCTGCTCTTATTAAATATCTCCATGGAATGTCTCCAATCGGCCTAGCTCACTTCAACATTATGCTTGATCCAGGTTCAGACCAATGACATTTATTGAAAATTGTAGGATCTATTCTCCCTATATGATCTGAGTAGAAGCAAAGTAAAAAGTAATAAGAGACAGAGGTTCTGAATGTAAAAACAAACTTACACTTTATTATATACTCTTGGAGCTGTTTGAAAGGTATTGTTTGTACCACAAGCATAGTTTTATCAAAAATAATAATTTGAGAAGTAAAAACCTCTGAAGAAAAAACTAATTTTTCTCTTTGCCCATTGATCAGAAGCAATCATATTGAAATATCTATTTTGTCTGTGTGATACAGCAATATCAATCTAGCCCAAATATTATAATGCTGTTATTGCAACATAGCAAAAAGACAAGACAAAGAAAAAAATGGTAACACAGGATGGGCTGCAGTACATATGTAATCCATCCTTTGATTTTTACCTCTGTCTTGTATTACTCATGAAAAAGAAGGGTTCATAATTTGTGGCTCAGTGTTTTGACATCTAAACTAATCATAGGCCAAACCCAGGGGCTCACATCTGTAATCCCAACATTTTGGGAGGCCTAGGCAAAAGTATTGTTTAAGCCCAGGGTTTCAAGACTAGCCTGGGCAACACGGTGAGACCCCATCTACAAAAATGTTTTAAAATAGCTGGGTATGGTGGCACATACTAACAGTGCCAGCTACTTGGGAAGCTGAGGTGGGAGGATCATGTGAACTTGAGGAGGCAAGACTGCCATGAGCTTTGACCCTGCCACTGCACTCTAGCCTGGGTGAAAGAGTGAGGCCCTCTCTCAAAAAATAAAATTAAATTAAAAATAAAATAATTATAAGTTAGAAAGGGGCTTTAGTTTCATGGAACATAAGTTTGTCCTACTAGATTCAAATTTGTTGTTAGAAATTGGGTGCTATTTTCTCTTCTTCCTTCTTTGCTTCCATTCTTTCCCTATCAATAGAAAAAGATTTAGGTTTATGTTACAGAAACCATAAATCTTATTATATACTGTAATCACATTTCTCTATTCAAGTTGCCTTATAGAAAAAAAAAACTTGAATAAGATTTATAGCCAACTGTTACCAAATGTTTAGTGGCATGTGCTTTATTTACTAACTTCACTCCAGACTCCATACTTTTGAGTTATTATTTTCACTTGACTGCTATTTTATTTTAATGAGATGGAGTCTCACTCTGTCACCCAGGTGGGAGTGCATTGGTGCAATCTCTGTTCGCTGCAACCTCCGCCTTCAGGGTTCAAACAATTCTCCTGCTTCAGCCTCCTGAGTATCTGAGACTACAGGCGCGCACCACCACTCCCGGCTAATTTCTTTGTATTTTTAGTAGAGACAAGGTTTCACTATGTTGGCCAGGCTGGTCTCAAACTCCTGACCTCAGGTGATCCACCCGTTTTGGATACACTCCTCCCAGAGTGCTATGATTACAGGCATGAACCCCCGCGACCAGCCTTGCTCTCTTAACGGTTTACTTTGCTTGCTAAGGCATGTGTTTAAGTATATTTTTAAAGAAAAAGGCAAACTGATAGAGTAGAAAAATAAGCATATAAATAAGCCATTTGAATTTATATGTGATTTTTTTGTAAAATGACAATAGAGGGCACATAAAAGCGTATTTGTTACCTAGTTCCTTTGCCAGATGTAAGTGGATTTATTAGTGTAGGAGAAATAGAATCAGTGTCAAACTTCCCCTAGATTACTTTCTTTTGACTCCCAAGGGCTTCTTATTTGGTCTTTGTAGATAACCTTCTTCTTATTCAGAGGTTGATCACTGACTGAAAAGTACAGAGGTTAAAATGCGGTTTCTGACTCAAAAAGATCTGCATCAGTGTATTACTTTCCTAATCCTGCTGTGACAAATTATCACAAATGTAATGGCTTTACACCACACATACTTTATCTTAGTCTGTAGATCAGAAGTGTGACACAGATCTCACTGGGTTGATATTGTCCACAAGGTGCTGACCTTCTCTTAGGGTGAATCTGTTTCCTTGCCCTTTTCTAGCTTCTAGAGGCCACCCACGTTTCCTGGCCCATGCATGCCCCTTTCCTCCATCTTCAAACCCAGAGATATCAATACTAGGTTGATTCCTTACCACACAGCATCATTCTGACCTCCTCTTCTGCCTCTCTTTTCCAGATTTTAGGCCTGCTCCAATAATCTAGGATAATCTCCCTATTTTAAGGTCAGCTGATTGGGAATCTTAATTCTATTGGCAACCTTGATTCTTTTTTGCCAATATAACTTTAAAAATTCACGGGTCCCAGGGATTAAGATGTAGATGTCTTTGAGAGACCATTATTTTGTTTATCACAATCACATCCTGAACTCCAGACTTTGATCAGCATATTGCCTCTCCAGCTCTTGGAATCTGTCCACAGTATTACAACCTTTGAAAGCTTCAGTTTCCTTATTTACAAATGGGGATAATCATCCTGACTTCACGGATTTGTTGTTAGGAAATAATGTGGCCATGTGCATAAAAAGTTTCATGTAGAACTAAACAAACAAGAAATAGTCAATAAATGTTAGTTATAGTATTTCTGACAAATACAACTGAAGGAATGGGACAAACAATTAAAAATGTACATCTTTTTATCTATTCCTCCTAAATTTTCTTAACTTGTTCATTGGCTATAGTTAGTGTAAGGGTAATTGGGAAATGTTTAAATATAATTTGAAGAGGCATATCATTAAGATCATTGTTATATTTTAGTACTGTTGCCATAATTAGTAATCATAAAACATCGGGTTGTTTAACAGTATCTCTACTACTGCTGCAGAGCTTGACACAGCACGAGTGGGCCCACAAAATGCTAATCACTGTCCAGACAGACTCTGTGGACATTTTAAGGATGCTAGTACCATCCTGGCATCTGCCATGGAAGCAGATGCTATTTGCATCTGTTTGCTATGACAATCACTGATGATGGCAGAAAAAAACATCTACATTTTAAGACAATCTGTTCAAATATTCAAGAACATACTTGGCTTGTCAAGGCACTTTTTAAAAGTTGTTGTAAGAAATGAGATTTATAGGAAATATAAATTATTAAGCTACCAATACATTTTTTTCTGAGTTTACTACTACTTGTGAATAAATATGTTGAGTATGGTTTCTAATCAATTGCTCTGTTGAATTCTGACACAGTTTTTGAGAGAGAGAGAGTAAGGACATTATTTTTCTTTTGACTTACACTAGAACTATTGACTATATTTGCCATGTACTGTGAATTTGAAGCTTATTGTTTCTATAAGTTTATATATATATGTGTGTGTATATATATTTATATCTAAGAAAATGAGTTTCATTATTTTTATAACAAAAGCAGGTTATAAGTGGAAATTCAATACTATGTACTGTCCTGTAAATTTAATCCATCAATTAGTATTAAAATGTACTTTATTATGTGTATTAAACCAAGGTTATTTTCACTATTTTAGAAGAGAAAATAAATAAAATATATTAATTATCTTGTAGAAGAGAAACAGTTGTTAGTCTACACAGTACTACAAATCTTGTTTCTTTGACTTGTCAAGGCATGAAAAAAAACAAAAAACAAAAACAAAGGCAAGGACGTGCTTAGGTTACATAAGGCAGCTTTGCTATGATTGATCGCAAACACACAGTAAGTTGATCCTTCTGGGCATAGTCAAGGGAAGTTCCTTTCCTCGGCGCTTTTGGAAACGTGATCCTATGAGCCCTGGATTGTCAGAGTCCACGCTAACTGTGTGCTAGTTAGTACCCACCCTGCTGTGACCCTAAGGTCGACTGTTACCCGGGGAGTCGGGAGGGGGAACAGGAGCAAGCAGGAGCCACGGAGCGAGTTGGGATGGAGAGAATCGGCCTCCTGGGAAGGAAGCAGGAACAGCAGGTGTGCCGACCTCCTCCTTCTACTGGCGCTCTTGGGCACCGCGCGGGGAAGGCAGTGGCGCACCAGCTGCAGTTCCCGGCGCGCCCGGAAGCGCTGGGGGAGCCCTAGGCCCGCGTTTGGCCACCCTCCGCCGGTGCTCCGGGCTCGCGGTCTGGTGGAAGTCGCAGGGTCGCCCAGAGCCCTTTCGCTCTGTTCGACTGGCGAAGCCGCCATGACTGAGCGGAAAACACTTGTTTCCGGACGCCAAGACTTGCGCGCTCCGGCCGCGCGCTTTTCTGCCTAGGAATTGGTGACGAGGGCCGAGGGCCGCCGTGCTGGGGGAGGTTGGGCAGAGGCTGGGGTGCCGGGGCTCCCCTCCCTGCAGCTCCCGGCTTCGCCCAGTCCCGGGCCAATCGAAAGGGACAGCAGAGGATGAGGTCCTTTCCGCATCCTTTTGAGTGGAAACCGATTACACGGGGAGGGAGGTAACAGTTCTTGGTAGAAAATCTCCCACGAGCGATTCTGCTTTTGTTGGTGTCGTTCCTCCTTTGGGAAAGCGCGTCAACGGGTCAGTGTAGATCCAGACAGAGTTTTGTTCCCGGAGACTGGATGTGTGGGTGGGCGCGGGGCTGACCCTGCGGGACAGGGAGGGGTCAATTCGGCCAAGGAGTACCCTCTCCACCCACCATGTGAAGGGCGCCGTTCGGGTCTGGCCATGGAGTCCCCGAGAATCTGATCTCCAAGGGATTGGAGTGACCCCTTCATCCTGATGTCCCAGTGATCACAATACCCCACTAGCCTCCTGAGCCCGCCCGGCACCGCAGGCTCAGGGCTAGAAGGTGGTTCTTGCCGCGCGCCGTCTGCGGGTGCGCTGGTTGCGTCCGCCTTTGCATCTCGGTTCCTGTCCGCGCTCGCTCCGCACCCAGGCTGAGTCAGGAATACAACCGAAGATTTCCGACTATGCTCCCCTGAGCTGGCCAAGAGTAATGTTCCCTGAAATCATGCCCTCCCAAAAAGCCTCAAAAATCAAGGACATGGGAAGTGGGGTTTGGGGTGGTGGGTTGTGGTCGCGGAATCCAGGAAAGCCCTCCCCCTCAACCCGAAAGCATTTTGACAGAGTGCTAGGCTTGGAAGACCTGAGACTTAGTGAGAGCAAGGAGTGTGAGCGTCAACCAAGCAAATTAACTGTCCCCTGATTTCTTAGAAAATTTCACCGGAAACATTTCTATGAAGAAAAATTAAAGTCAGTTTATGTTATTGACGCTTTTCCATAGCCCTTCAATGTTTTTCTCCCCATCCCCACTCCCGACTTCTTTCTGAACCTTCTGGGCGTATTCTTCGCAGAGCAAAAATGCCGTAACTGTTGCCAGTTTCCGAAGTTTCTAACGCCTTTTGACAGTCCTCTTCGTCAAGTTTGGTCAGACTCTCCCAGTTCAGGACCAACATCAGAGGATGCTCTAGAAGTGGCGCCTGAGAGCCTACCGGTGAATGGCCCTGGCTAGGAAGAGAAGGAGGTTACACAGGAGAGCCTACAGATATTTGTAAGCTCTCTTAGTGATCAACCTTCCCAACATAAACGCGCCAGCGCACACACACCAAGTGAAAGAGAGAGACAGACTCCTTGACCGCCGCTAGAGGGAGGGCCGCTGGGCAGTTGTGCAAAAATGAATAAATATGGACCCTGCTGTCTGGCAGAATTTGTGTTTATGTCACTTTAAAAATACTATTTTTATTTGACAAATCATAACTGTTATATAGTTATGGGATACATTCTGATGTTTTGATATTTGTATGCAGTGTGGAATTATTAAGTTAAGCTGATGTCACTGTTGAAAGGCTTCAAGTGACTAAGCAAGGAAGACCCTACCTTGGTTAGGCTGGAACTAAACAAGGAAAAAACGTACAGCTATAACTGCCTTTCACGGGTTCCTTTGGTCTTGAGATTCTCTATTCTGTTTACCGATTCTTCACTACTTCCTACACAACAAGTCTCAAGGTGCTCAGCACAGAACCTGGGCTCCTAATAGCACAGACAATATTTTATATATACATATGATATACAGATAATACACACACACACACACACACACACACACACACACACGTATTTCCTCAAAGGAATTGTAGGAAAGGACCACAGTAATGTGAATTCCGTTTTTTTCCACCTCTGTTTGATACTGTGGCTTTAAGTAATAGCTGATATACCATGCAAAAACGTAAAAATAAGTTGGAAACATAATTGATCACTTTAGACAGGAAAAAATAAATCCACTTTCCATTATATTTCTGAGTTTTAGAATTTAATTCTTCATTGTCTATCTGGAAATAGTTGCAGAATCCTCAGAAAATATCACTTATAGAAGGGTATTAATATAAGAAATACAACTTCCTTGTGCAAAGGCTCTTAAAGTTACTAAAGGGCGTCTAAGTATGCAAATCGTCTTAGAATGCAGGGTAATGGTCATTTGAAGACATTTGAATACTTTCATCCACTGTGACTCTGAGTTAGGAAGTAGACAGTGGGGGTTAAGGAAAGATTGAGTATTATCTTGATTGGAATTTCAAGACAGGAAAGTCTAATCCCTTTCTTGTAAAAGACATCTCGATGGATTTCAACTAACCTTGAGAAACGAATCAGAATACCTACTCAAACCAGAGCTAAAGAGAAAGTGTTTTTTTTTTTTTTCTTTCTAAAAACCAGGTGTTGAGCTCCTTGGTAACCCAATACTGGGTGCGCGCGCGCAGAGTGGCCAGACCCCTCTCCACGCAGCTCTGGCTCTTTTTAATTCGGCAAGTGCACTCACAGCAGAACTGCCACCAGTATAACGTCTTGACGATGGGCTCCAGGGTTTGACACTCCGCAGCGCCACCAGCTCTGTTTTCTCCCCAAGTAAGCCACTCTACCTCGCGAGCAGCAGATCGCCCTGTGCGCGCTACAATCCGTGGGGCGGGGAGACCTGGCGCTCACCCAGCGAGCTCGACTGGTGCTGACGTCCATTCAGGCCTTTAAATGTCTCTGTCCCTGCGCAGGAGGGAACGGACTTTGTAGCAGTCACTTTGCCCGAAGGGCGACGCGTCTCTGCTTTTGCAGGCGGCAGCTCGGACTCCCCTCACTCTTCCCAGCGTTGCGTTTGCCTCTGTCTTTGCCTCGAGTTCCCCGCAGCCTCTCCAGCGGGAGGCGCTTTTGGTATTCGTACCCTGGGCATGAACCAACAGGACTCCCCATGCCCTGTGCTTTTTCAGTGGGTTCGAAGATCAGAGATTGCGAGGTGCTCTGGGTGATCGCTCAAGGAGCAGGGAGCTTCCTCCCCCTGATTTTGGTAGGGGGTGATTTTTTTTTTACCCCGAAAAGCGTCCTCCCCGCTCCTGAAGCTGCAACTTGTTTTGGTTTCTTCTCAGTCCTGTGTGTGGTTACAACATCAAAGTTTTTCTCCCTTACCCTTCCAAAAATCTATCCTTTTAATCCACCCTCCTCCCCCCGCGCTATCTCCGCCAGGCCTTCTCGCTGTGCGGTGAGTGGATAGCGGGCGCGCAGTGTGGCAGTGGCGGCGAAGATTGGCGCTATCAGGAGGAGCAAAAGGGAAGGATCTGCTGCTGGGGGCTCGCTGGGTGACCCTTTGCCAGACGAAAAGAGCTGGGTAAGGCGCAGAAGAGGAGCCGGAACCTTCTGGGACCCTGGTGCCTGACACTGGATTTTGATCACCATCCTTGTGTGTCTCTGACCCTTTTTTTTCTCAATTGGTAACTAGTCGAGAGAGAAGCGCTTGGCAGGAGCTCTCTGCGGGACCTAAGCTCCGTGGCTGCTCGGGATCCCTACGTCCGCTGCTGCTGAAGGAGCAGAGGGGAGGACGCCAGCGGTTGCTTACTGGAGCCTGGAGGTAGGCAAGGGGGTGGGATCCTGATTCTCAGCCCAGATTCCAAAAGGGTTTCTGGTTTCATGGAAACATTCTTCTCACCCTCATTTGTCATCGCACACCCCACCCCCGCTTTTCAGATTCAGGTTCAGGAACAACCAAATCCGTGGCACCCTCACAAGGTGGAAGTACCTTTCAAAGCTCATCGCCTGAATGTCTCGCTCCTTACATGTATGTGTTTGTGTTGGGGGAATGTGAGCTTCTCGGGGAAGTTGATACCTTGCAGATTTTGAGAATGTCCAACTTGATTTTATTCAGTTTCTTAAAGGTTGTGTTTCCTGTGGGCAAGAATTATGGGAAATAAATGTCAGTGTCATATACAACTGCAGTAGCAGCTCAGAAATCACCTTCATTTCCCCCCAAAAGTTTTCCCCATGCAAGTTTTCTTAATGTCCACATGTAGTGAATGGAGACTTGGCTTGTTCCATTATATGTAAACGGGGAGGGGGTGGGGGGTTACATCCTTCTCTTTTAAGTTGGAGGATATCAAAGACATTAGAGTTTCTCTCCTTTATCTCTCTCATCGTTATCTCTAGCTCTAGCTCTCTTTCTGTCTCTCACTTTCCTACCATCCTGACTTCTTTCCTTCTTTATCTTCTCTTCCTTCTCTCCTTCCTTCTTTCTCTCTCTCTCATTTTCTTTCTTTCCATGTGCTGCTCATTAATAAATATAATGTGAATTTAGAGAGAATGGAACACTTTTGCAATATACAGGGATGATAAAAGACTTCTTTCCTACCTTGCCTAAAGTTTTTATTTAAGTATCTGATCCTTTTTAGTTGTGAGGTAATTTGAAGGATGACTGAACTAGTATCTTGGGTGCAATTCAGCATGGTAAGATTTTGTATACAGTATGTTTAATTGTTCCCAACTCTTACACATTAGCTAATAACAGGAATTACATGAATTGTTAGAAAAGGCCCTTGATTTTTGGCAAACAATATTTTTGAACTGTGGGGAAATGTTAAAAATCAATATTACAATTTACGTGGCAAGCATATGGATTCATAGGTGTAAAGAGAGCGGCAAGTTAACCTTAAGAGAGTGGTTTAATGAAAAATCAGTGCCTGGAATTTCATATCTACATACAGTAATCAGTGAAATAAATGAACCCGTTAGTATTCAGATCTTGAAATACTTGGTTCCATAAAGACACTACTGTACATTTTATTTCTGATCTCATTTGTGGGAATAGAATAATATTAGACGGTTTTATCCACTTTTTCACACATGCGTGCTGTAGATTTCGGGATATCCTATAAAGCAGTGGGAGGCAAGATCCAAGATCTGGCCTTACTAACATTACCATCTCTCCTCTGCAAGGATCCCTTTACATTAAACTGCAACTAGTGGAATCTGGAACTTGAACTGCTGCTGCTGCTTTGTGCTTGCTTGCTTTTTTATTTTATTTATTTATTTATTTATTTATTCTCTCTCTCTCTCTTTCTCTCTCTCTTGCTTCTGTACACTTGTAGCTTCCAGTCTGAACTTAAATCTCCCTCTGTGCAATGGCCCTTGTTACTTGTATTCTTTCTCTTAGGGCAGCTCACAGTTGGGTTGCCCTGAATTAAAATAAATTAATCCTCTGACAGTATAGTTTATACATTTCCTGGGTATATACTACGTATGCCTAGGCTTCCTGCTGAACCAGGTGTGTTGGAGGACATGGAGAGTATAGGGAGACCAGAGTACCACGAAAGTGGTGAGAGTAGGACTAAATTAGGAAGATGGACAGTACTTAAGGAGAATTAGGACAGTGTAGAAGAGGAGGAAATAAAACAAAAATCTGAGAGGTGTGTGTATGAGAGAGAGTGTGTGTGTAGAAGATGGATTATCTTCAGCGGAAATCAACCTTATCTTAAATCTGCATGAGCAGGTTTATCTCAAAGGGCAGATTCTTTGCTTGGTAAATGCTTTGAAAAGACTTTAGAATCCCAAGGAGGGAAGAACAGATCTCATTTGTAACTATTGACTTTCAAATAAACTGTTTAGTTCCAGGCTCTAGAACAGTTTTTCTCAAAGTTTAGTGCCTGAAGATGCTTAACAATTGAGATTTACAACTCCTAACACACAAGATACTGTTTCAAGAGGGTCCAATTAATTGCATATCTAACAGGATGGGTGATTCCAGTTCTGCTAGTTCAAGAAGTATTCTATGAAATTTACAGGCTTAGTGTTA
The DNA here is from genome assembly GCF_000001405.40 of Homo sapiens. Classification (NCBI taxonomy): domain Eukaryota; kingdom Metazoa; phylum Chordata; class Mammalia; order Primates; family Hominidae; genus Homo; species Homo sapiens. Next base: position 55,625,410 of record NC_000010.11, on the reverse strand, counting down.
ATGAACTTGATTTTTGTGAGGGAGGGTGTCATACTTGCATGTTAATCTAAAAACTTTCCCTAGTATTTATCTTTTTGAAATTTTCTTGTTTTCTTCTATCAATGCCATTATTATTGTCATGGCTGTCCTATTAGAAGATGGGTATTCTCAAATACCAAAATTTTATCATTTGTATATTTGCAGCCTTGGATGGTGGCCCTTTGAGATTTAAACCAGGAAGCACTAATACTGAGGTGACAGAAATGCTTCAGCATTATTAAAATCTTAAGTTAAAAAAAAATCAGTGTACTGATGGCTTTGGTTAGATGATAGCTTTAACTAAACATTATGATTATCACTTTCTCACTGGAGAGAGAAAAACTTTTTAAATTTATTCTCACCTTTTAATTTCATATATTTACATATTTATCTTTTTCCCTACAAATGCAAAGCAGTTCAGGTCACTTTCACGAAATTACACAAAGAGAAAGTAAATTTAACAGTGCCTACAATCATTTTTTTTCTAGTAAATTTCTTCATTTCCATTAATAAAACTTCACAAAGGTAACATAAAAGTGAAAGAGATGATTGATCACGTTCTGAACCCAATGGTGAGTCTGGTCATTTTATTGAGTCTATTTTTGAAAATAACATCTACATGAAATTCTTAATTTTTCCCACTCTTTCCAGCCTAACGATGTTGGTCATTCATTACTGTGGTCTTCAATCTGTGTGATGTTCATTGACACTGTGGTGTCAGAGTTCTAATTTCCCCCTTTTGTACTATTTTCATATACAGTGCTATTTTACAGAACATGTTTTTGTCATCATAAGCATTAGAGTTTTCTATTAATTAAAAAGTTTGCCCAATAACAGTGCAGCATCACATATCAATAGACAAAAAGAATATTGTATTTGCTTATTTTCTTTAAATAACCACTTTAGTCAACTGACATTTCCCAGTTGTCTTATGCTATATCAAAGTGTCGGGTGGCTTCTAGTTTAAACTATCTACATGTCGAAATTAAAAAAAAATGCAGCTTGCATGCTTTAATGAAACGTCCTCTCTAATAATGCATGTAATGGAATAATGTGAATTATAAGCTTATTCTTTAATTTTTTTTATTGAAGCTCTAATAATCTCTTTTGATATTTGGTTGGTGTTACACTAAGAATTTGGAACCCTGGGGAAAAAATTAGGAAACTAGTTTAATTCTCGGAAAATAAACTTAACCTAAGAGAAGTTTGTTTTTGCTTCATATTAACCACAAATCACAGGCATTATGATTGATATATTGAGATTGACACATAGTGACAGAGCATCCAGAATTTCTGCCACAGTTCAAGGGCTTCTTTGTAAAATAATTACACAACTGATGGCAAACACAATCAATTTCTATGTAAAAAAATATAAAGAATTTTGTTTTGCTGCTCTAGAAATTCATTTTCTTTTCACATAGCCCCTTTCCCCATAGGGTGAGAGAGAGAGTAGTCCACAGGATGCCACTATTGTGATGCATAGTATTTTGAATAATTTTACCCTTGAGCCATCTTTAGCTACATTAATACTAATGGAAACATTGACTTTTCTCCAATGATAAATTTTCTGACACTTTTTTTCTTCAAGCCAATGGATATCTATTAGAAGGTGTTAGTGCCCATTTATTGCCAAAGACTGCCTTTTTCAAAATAATCCCCCAAGAGGATCTAGTAGCCACCACTCCTATCTTTTCTCTTCTCTCTTCATCCTCTGTGCTCTGATGAAAATCATATTATATCTATAGAATATGTATATATAATCTCTTGAATTGATTTCACATAAATCAGAAATATATATTTTTCATTAACTATAGTGTTATATATATTCTCATCCCTGTCCTATGTTCATAGAATGAGAATGGCTCTTCTTCCACATACTACATTTGCATTTACATTGAATTCATCCATACTACCCAAAAAAATCCATTCACACTAATAGTGATTTAATGGATTCCTTAACAGGATTGATTTGTGTTTTAAAAGAAGATCACTAGAAGAAGACAAATCTTAACACACGTCTCCCCTGAAGGTTTTCAAGTCCTTAGACAAAATGAAAAAACAAAACAACAACAAAAAAACCACTACAACCTAGTCTCACAAACCACAGCCACTTGTATGTAAGTCCAGTCCTACGACCTAGTTAAGGCCTGAATCTGTTTGATATCCTGTGTCTGGGAGTGCCAGAGCCTATTCAAAGTCTTCGGGTACAAATAAGAAATAACTTGTGTAGAAACTCACATTTTAACAATGAGAATAGGACATTAACGTTAAAAAATATATAGAGCAGGAGGTGGAATCCAGGGACTAGCGATACTTCGGAAAGGTCAAACACATGTTCGAGAACATGTTTGAAAATATGGAAAACAGGAGGCGGAATCCAGGGACTTGAGATGCTTCAGAAATGTCAAACACATGTTAGATGCTCTGTCTTGGTATGCCATTTCTTGGTATGCCATTTGCTCAGTTTTATGAGTGGGATTAGACTAGAAGACAGCTCTGTGGTACAGAGAGCAAATCCAAGAGGCAGGAGAAATCATAATGCCTCGGTCCAGCCCGTATTTTATTTAGGAGTGGGAGTGGGGAGAGGACATTTGCCTGCAGTTTCTGGAGGTTTTTCTTTTGCCAGTGTGAGAAATTATTTTATGCTATGCCAACTAAAAGTTTGATTCCTGGTGAGAAGTGATTACTTTTTCTTTAATTCATAAAACTATTTCATGATAGTCTTCTAAGAATTGTACTTCTTTGGTTACTTTACAGTGGAATTCTTATGGTTGATCAGCCATTCAATTTAAATAAAATATCTTACATTTTATGAAAAATACTCTTACACTAAGATGTTTCTGGACTGCATCCTACAGCTGAGTAAAGTTGGGTAAAATAGAAATATTGGCCTATGTTTTGAAGATGAACAAATCATTAGAAATGATTTATATAACTATGTTTTTTCATTTTTCTAAAGTTCTTATTTGTGAATGCCTCAGTTAGGTCTCCACCTCTTTTTCAGTGTTGAATTCCTTTCAAGAATGAAGAGAAGAAGTGAAAGGAAGTACAATTATCAGTTTTGACTTAAGATATTTAACTGTGGGCCAGGCGCAGTGGCTTATGCCCGTAATCCCAGCACTTTGGGAGGCCTAGGCTGGCAGATCACTTGAGCTAGAGTTTAAGACCAGCCTGGGCAGCATAGTGAGACCCTGTCTACATAAAATGTATATATATATAATATATATAATATATATATTTATAGATATATATAATATATATAATATATATATTTATAGATATATATAATATATATACATTATATATAATTTATATATATTATATATACATTATATATACAATTTATATATATATTATATATACATATATAAATATTTATTATATATACATATATAAATATATATAGAGAGAGAACGAGAGTATATTTATATTTAACTATGAATGATCTTTAAAAAGGGTTTCAATGTCGTTTCCTCATTTTTTATACATTCTTCAAATCAGAAAATCATGTATATGTTAGTATATATGTCCACATATACATATGATGTTAGAGTTTTTTCCTATATTTATTGAACTTTTTTTTTTGTAATTACCACATGTACCCTTTTTCACCTTAACACAGCAGTCCTCAAACTTTTTGGCACCAGGGACCAGTTTTGTGGAAGAAAATTTTTCACAGACCAGGGATGGCTGGGTGAGTGGATTGTGGGGATGGGGGTTATGTGAAACTCTTCCACTTCACATCATCAGGAATTAGTTTTAGATTCTCATAAGGAGTGTGCAACCTATATCCCTCACATGCGCAGCTAACCATAGGGTTCCTGGTCCTATGTGAATCTAATGCCGCTCTGAGTTCTGACAGGAGGTGGAGCTCAGGTGGTAATGCCACCCACCATTACCTTTCCCGCAGGTCACCACCTGCTGTGAGGCCCAGTTCCTAACAGGCCATGAACAGGTAACTGGTCTGCAGCCCCTGGGGTGGGGGACCCCTGCTCTGGGGTGCGGGGACCATTGCTCTGTTGGCAGTGTGGTTTTCCACATTGCCAACAAGGACAGACTTTTTTGAATAATTAATAAATTATTAAATAATCTGTGGGCTTCACTCAAAATGCTTCTATAAAGAAATTTTTAAAAGGACAACTAACAAATAGACATGTTAGAAACCCATAATTTTCCAGTTTTTATTTCTTCTTTGCTAAAACATATAAGTTAAATTCTATTCATATTATTATCTCTACTGTACATTCTCCTAGATTCCAATATGCTTAGGAGAGTAAAAATTGAGTTTAGCAATGTTGTGATTAATAATTTGATGAATCAATAGAATCTAATTCCTGTTTAAAAATGGTTTTCTAACATAAACATAATATATATATATTCAGAACAGTTTTTACTAATGCATTATGTATTAAATTAACATTTGCATGACATGTTATGTTCTTTAAAATGGGTTCATAAATGTATGACAAAATTTTAAATTATTTTTAATTTTAAAAGACTTTAGCTGCAAAGAGGTATACATGAATTTGAGCTGATATCATTTGAGTTGTATTTTATATAGTATTATTTAAAAATTTTAGGAGCATTGAGTTCTTAAAACTTAATATAATTGAAAAATAATATATTAATTATTGTACCACTGCTAGATTATATATTATTTATGGCTTTGCAATATACTTGAAAACCTAGTACTTCATATTTTTAATTGTCTTATGTCTCTAGGAAACATTCTACTACATTATTGAAAATGGAATTGAAAATTTTTAGGGTGCAAATATTCAAATTTCCACTCAGAATTATTGTTTTCCTCCTAAAATTCTAAAAGTTATAATAAGTAAATGTAATAATGTAATAACTAAAATGTGACATTATAATCAATGGGCATTATGATTTGCTCTCTTTAAGGTTCTGAAACATGTATTAACTAAAAAAAGAGTAAATACTTTAAACTTCTGTAGATGTGTATTCTTGCTGACCATTTTGTACAAATGTGAGGGAATATAATCTATTCTCTATTTTTATAACTAGAGCTATAAAATATATAACCTGTGCAAATGCTTGTAACACACATGCAAAAAAAAAAATAGTTTTTCAAGAATGCTTACAATTCCCAAGCTTCTCACAGTTATTCACTTTGTGAAATATGTCATGTGTTCTTAGCTTTAAGAATGTTTTTCAATTGGTATTTAGAATACATCTGGACCACAATATACTGATGACATTTGGCATGTATTAAGGAATAACAAACCCATTTTTAAACATCCTATTTCCAAAAATAACGGGTTAAATTTGGTGAAACAGTACAGTGAATCTGTATTATTAACTGGGGGCATATGCTTAGGCAAGGGCATACTGGTTATTATAATGAAAATAGAGGAAGGGTTGGGCAAGAAAGGAATAGTACTCCTACCCATCTCCAAATGGGAAAAGAAAGACTATAGGTTTGGGAATTAAGTCTTAGAAAAGGAGATTAACTGTGCTAGGCAAAAATTTAATTAATAAATAAAAAGTTGGCCAGTGCAGACTTACTTTAATGAGCTTCAAAATAATTTAAAATGATAGCATTCCAGTTTAATAAATATTATATGTGACTTCTACATTGGATACTACATTTTCATCTGGAAAGCTATATTTTTCTACATGATAAGTAATCAAAAACACATATTAGAAATTTTCAAATATGCTCAAAATAGCTACAAGCTAGAGAATTTAGATATTGAAAAATAATAATGAATTATAATTATTTTGTGCCAGTTATTACTTTAAGTACATTACATTTATTAACTAATTTGATTCTCGTAACTTTACAAACTCCTAGTATTTTCTAAAGTTATTGCAAGCTAGGCATTTTATGTTCAGGAAAGTTTAAAACTTTGTCCAAAATTTCCCAGTTAGAAAGAGATTGAGTGTGGATTCAAATCAAGGGTCCAGATACTGTGTTCTTGATTTCTAATAGCTCTTGAGCATATTTTAAATGAATACCACCTGTCATAATTTTAAGACTTTTGTTTGACGTTACTAAAGTTACCTCCAGCAGAGTGTGGTTGCTTATTGCCAGAACCAATGACGCTATAGTTTTTTTAAAATTCTGATGCAGTTTTTACATGTATTATGTTAAAAAAAAGCCTTAATTGGTGTTTCTGTATTTTATACTCTAAGACATTATTTTTATTACTCCTTGATGCCTGTGTTTTTTTCTTCATTACAGGAAAGAATTGCTGCTTTTAGTATATAAGCCAAAAGAAATATTGGGTTTAGTACATCAACATACGTGGTTGCATTTTTTTACAAGTTATACAGGGTTTAGCTGATCCTAAAAAGAAAGTTTCACCTTCACAGTACAGTGTTGACACAGTTTATTTACGATCACGCTTTTGTTATGTGCACATGAACATGTTTAATTTTCAACTTGGTTCCAAACTCCCTTGTGTTCCTTTCTGTTTTGTAAAGTGCATTCACAGTTCTTTCTTATTTTTTTGTCATCATGCCTAAGCACATTCTCTTTATCTGCCTTCATCCAGATTGGGATATTGTAGGACAAACAATTTTCTTTATGTCATGGATCTTAATGGGTTGATATCTCATAGGCCTTTTTAGGTCAGTACACAATACTGGGCAATTGTACAAGGTCAGTAATTGGGCTTCCAGACTCTACTGTTTAGTTTCTCTAAAACTGGACATTTTACTTGAAGCTTCTGTGCTTCAGTTTCTTCACCGCTAATACCACATGAGTATCACAAGACTTTAATGAGATAATTCAGGTAACATGCTGATGTCAGTGCTTGACACACAGTTCAGACCCTTTAAAAGTAAACATTTTGAACAAGTGTTTTGGGGAAGAGTAGTAGAAAAGCACAAAATCAGATACGACTTCTTGGTAGTTTGATGTGTATACAAAGACCTTCTTATATAATCAAAGTGTTTGTCATGATACTGAAAGGTAAACTATATGAATATTTATTTAAGTAACAGTACAGTTGAAATTGTTAATTTTTATTTCCTATTAGGACACTCCTAGGAATGTTCAGTTTCTCAGCATTAATAGATTCATATACAAAAGACTACAACAAATAACACTTGTGTTAAATGCTATGAAAGGATAATCAAAAAAGTTTACCTCAGTAAATTTTTCTGGTGAATGACTAGTTGAATTAAAAATGAAACAAGAAAACAAAACATATTAACAAAAGAAGGACAGTTTTACTGGTGTTCAATTTTTCAAAGCCTTCAAGTAGCTATAATTTAATAAACAGCAATGCAATAGAAAAAAAATCCTGGATTCTTCTAGAATTGTATTTATTCTATGTCACTAACTTGTTGAAAATTGTTTGAAATGAAAGCAGTTATTAGAAATAATTGTATTTCTTTCTATAAACACTATATTTTATCTTGATTTCATTAGAATTACATTTATAGGATTCACATGCCTTTCTTTCTTCATTTTTTTAAAACAAAGCAGTGTCCTTCAGTCTCGTTTGCTACTCAGTAACATCAATTAAAAGTTAGAGTAAAATTAACTGAAAAGTTTAGATGGAAAACAAAGTCTAAGAATGTTCTAAAAGCTGATGACTGTGAAAGAGTGATTTGTCTGCAGCCAAAATGTCGTTACCCAATGCTACTCTGAACTGAAGGATGTAATGTAATCAGTTTTCCCAATTTAAAAGATCATTTTCAGACAGATAATTAGGATAAAAATTAAAAGAAAGAGTACTGAAGAAGTTATTAGGTGATTTCACTCTAAGATAATGTAGAATCAATATAGTTTATCTGGATATGCTTGCACTAATTGTTAGAAAGAGAATGTAAATGCAGTTTATTGCCCTGCCATGGAATTATCTGGTTATGTCAGATCTTACATTCAAGCTCAGTGGAATGTTTGATGGTATAATTCTACTGATACTAATTGGTCTACTGTTCTAGTCATTTGCTTTTGTGTAGTTTTTCAACAGCAAAAATATAAGCATGTTATTGACCTTTCACAAACACACTGCATATTATTTTACAGTATTTTATTGTTTGCAGCAATTACAGTGAAGAGTATATCTTTTTATAAGACGAGTATTACTAATGTGAGCATTCTGTAGTGTTAAGTCTTAACCTGGGATCTGGTTATGCTCTCTTGATCTAAAACTTGTAAATTAAATCTCTCTGCTCTCCCACACACTCAGTGTGTAATGTGATACAGGAATAGGAAAACTATAGTAAACACTCCTATTTGGAAAGAAAAAGAAAGTTCTGTTTTTCTTTCATATAGGCATTTACAAAAAATACCTGAAGTTTTGTTTATGTTTGCAAAGCAAGCAAGGTTGAGAGGTTGCTTATGAGGTCTAACTGGGTTTGTCTGCTCAGGGATTCTTCAAGCTTAGCTACCATTTTAATGTATTAAGTAATACTATACTAAGTAATGTATTAATGTAATAATGTCTTTAATATATTATAATGTGTTACATTATAATACATGTAACATAATAATGTACTTAATGTATATTCTACAATACTATATTAAATAACACTTTAATAGGTTTTACTAGTTATCTAGGCAACACTTAGTCTATTCAAGTTGACATCTAGAAGTAACCACCATACTCACTATTGTAGAGACCAAATATCAACCAGTGCTAATATTCAGTGTTCTTACCTATGTTTTATGACACTGGAAATCGTTAGGTACACAAATACTTCTCAAGTCACCTCAGTGCACAGTGTTATCAATATGTCACTGCCACATATCACAGGTTCCCATTCTCCCTGACTGTGATAAAAATTTTCTTGCTACCTTCAAACTGACACATAGGTGGGTTGGTTAGGGACACACCTTATTTCTCATTACAAATTTCTGTATCACTCAGAGAGTTACTCTTTTTTTTTTTTTTGCTAATTTCAGCATAATACATCACAATAATGAAAACTCAAAAAATAAAGTATATTAATTCTAAAATTGAAAGATGTAACTATTAATACATGGTTGTCTGCAATTCATCTAGCTCCTTTTTATTTAAATAAAACAGACTACTTTTTCCATTTATGAATTTGCTATGAACATTTTTATGCCAGTATTTTTCTACCATACAATTGTTTTACCAATATTATGCAGTTTCATTGTATCTATTGGTACAGCCTGGTATCAGGCTGAATTAGATTTACTGTTAAAGTGTGTTGTTACTGTTTACAATTATTTAAAAGTGATTTTTCTGTCAATACTTGTAACTTGATTTTTGTCTTAGAAACTGGATTTTCTGCTTTTCTTTAAAAATGTGGAAAATTCAGAAGTAATAGAGCAACTTTGCTGCATGGTAATGGTGGGCTGCAGGAAAGAAACTGTTGTCCCACTTAGATACAGCATTCTGACTCCAGATTTCAATTGTCAGTGGTGACTCCAGCTTAATCTTGGTACCTCTGTCTCAATGTGGCATTGATTTTGCAGTATTACAAATGCAACTTTCAGAAACATCTTTATACATTTTTGTGCACATTCTGAATTATTTTCTTTTGTGTATGTGACAGGGTCTTGCTCTGTCGCCCAGGCTGCAGCGATGGAATGATCATAGCTCACTACAGACTCAACCTCCTGGACTGAAATTATATTCCTGCTCAAATCAGCTTAGGTTCATATGAGTCTCCCAAGCAGCAAAGATTCAGGTGCCAGCCACTATGACTGGCATTTTTTATTTTTTATTTTTATTTTTTGGTAGAAGCAGAATCCCACTATGTTGCCCAGGCTGATCTGGAACTCCTAGACTCAATTGACCTTATTGCCTCAGCCTATCAGAGGGCTGGTATTATAGTGCTGGTATTAAGCCACCATTATTTTCTTCTGATAAATTTCTAGTGGTAGAAAGCTATTGGGTTAAAGTATACATTGAAGAGAGGGTGCTCGTATACAATATATATATTTGCATTTTGTTGCAGTAATATAAATTATCCCATTTATTGCTGTTTTATACTGTGTGTTTCTTAAAGGTGAGGTGAGACTGAGTTAAAAACTATGATTATTTTTCATTAATGTACCTTCATTTCTGAAATGATTTAATGACATTTTGCAGTGTTTCCAATGAGTAAGTGATTTTTATTGTTTACTACTGTTTTTCACAGTTTGACAGCTTCAATTCAAGTTTTGATGTCTTATTTTCATATATGTAAGTTATATTCTTTAAATGTTTTGTCAAATCTATTAAACTTTTTTATTATAGTCACTGTTCTTAATTATTTGCATACAATTGTTTTAGTATACAATCATTTGAATTTTCATGTTATGATTTGTATTTTTAAGTCTTGCTTTACTGTTTCCAGCTAAGTTAATTATTTTAAAGGACATGGTCAGAAGTCTGATTTTTTACAATTTTCCAAATAACCCAATATCTAATGACCATTTACTGAATGATTACATTATAAAATTAAAATGTGGCTCCAAATTAATGTTGAGAGCTTCCTATAAAAGGAAAATTATGTTCTTAGAAATAAACAATTTGCTGTTATTTGTGTAGAACATTTTGTGTATTTTAATTAGGTGGTATTAAAGGGTAAACTGTCACCCTCCTACGAAGTAAACCTTGGTTGGCCAGTTATGACTGTATATGAATGACTGGTATACTAGTTATTAATAAAATTAGACAAAAAGCTATAGAAATAAACCAAAGACTTTGGTTCATTTAAACACCTATGGTTTGAAGTTGATCATACCCAAATAGTGACCAAACCACTTTAACAAACTGTGTATTATCAAACTTTTAACATCAATAGAAAATTTTATTTAAATTTAGATCATAGTAATGTTACAATTTTATGTGGAAATCACCTTCAGAAGGAAGGGTATTTTGAATTATTTTACTGTAGGTCATTTCTGTTATAACAGAAAATACTATTAAAATGAAACGGTCTAACAAAAATATTTCTAAGTCTTGCTTTATCCCTCATGCACTTAAAACAGTAGAACAAATTCCTTCTCATCAAGTACTTAGGTAGCTACTTGGTTTTCTTTCCAATAAGATAGAACTTTTTATGTTTCACTGTGAAACCAAAATAACTGCTATAATATTAATGGATATGTTTGAATTCATTACAATCTCTAAAAAAGCAGCACTTTCTCTGTCTACCTCTATTTTAGAGATGAGTATAAGAAAACGAACATCTCTGTTTTAGGTAATGTCGGTTCAGAGATTGAGTTTACTACACGCTTCCTGACTGTTAAGTGATATATATCTCACTTTTCAAACCTAAAGTAAAATTTAAATCATAAAAAAAGAGGAAAAGAGTTTTGTTACTTTTCTTTTTTTTTTTTTGAGATGGAGTCTGGCTCTGTTGCCCGGGCTGGATTGCAGTGGCACGATCTCAGCTCACTGCAAGCTCCGTCTCCCCGGTTCAAGCCATTCTCCCACCTCAGCCTCCCGAGTAGCTGGGACTACAGGCACCCACCACCATGCCCGGCTAATTTTTGTTTTTGTATTTTTTAGTAGAGACGGGTTTTCACCATGTTAGCCAGTATGGTCTCGATCTCCTGACCTTGTGTTCCACCCGCCTCGGCATCCCAAAGTGCTGGGATTACCGACATTACTTTTCTTTTAGTTTTAAATGGCTAAAAATGTATTCAGTAATTGAAAGCTGCATCAACCCTTGTCCTACGAATGATTTGCATCTTTTCTATTTGGCTTTGAGCTACGAGGCTATGACTTTCTAGAGAGTAAGAAAAAAATAATACTAGGGACTTAGATGAACTTTCACAGATTCATTTAATACACTTAGTTTGTAGGACATTTGCAAATTCATAAGAGCAGAAAAAGAAATAGGGATCATTGTCACCATTATCACAAATGATTATCCTTATGTGTGAACTTTCCCTTGCATCTTTTTGTTTTCCCGGTGTCCTTTCAATGAAAGGGAAGGAGGATGTTGATGTTTAATACAGAGCATAACTGTTTGAAAGTTGAATGTCTAGAAGTGAATAATCAGTTCACATATTATAAGGTGGGGCATGTATTTGAAAGTCTAAAAGTGGTGTATATCCCAATTATGTTTTTTGTTGGTGCTGCCTCTATGGAGTCCAGGTAACCTAATGTGAATATTCACAGATACCTAGGAAGCCTGGATCACAAGGCGGCAGGTAAAGATAGGCTATAGTGTCACCAGTTCCCTTCAAAGAATTTGGATAATTGAGCCAAGAATAATAACTTTCATTTTGGGGCTTAAGATTGAAGGTAAAGAGAAGGTGGTTAGGGAACATGAGGCAAAACTAATAATGGATTTCTGACTGGACACTGTCTGGAGATTCCACAATTAAGATCTGGGGAGAGCTTGCAGTGAGCCGAGATTGTGCCACTGCACTCCAGCCTGGGCGACAGAGAGAGATTCCGTCTCAAAAAAAAAAAAAAAAAAAAAAAATCTGGCTAGTAAATATGTATTGGAGAGTCTCAACTTTTCTGACAGGAAGATAGTATCCTTATAGGGTAGATTGAGAATATCATACCATAGCTTATTTAATAATATAGTTTGTATATTGTTTCAATTATAAAGTGTGAGTATTTGAAGTTTATGAAATGATGTGGGAACCATGCAGATACATTAAAGGCAATGCTCAGAATTTGTAGGAATTACACTAGGTTGCTAAGACATAGATTAGTAGAGCTGGGATGAGACCTCAATAATTTTTATTTCTTTTGAAAATTTCTTTGCCATTGGTACCATTCTGCTATTCTGCACAGTACAGTCTAAAATATATACTTATGTTTTGCTACTTTGAGAGATTTTGCTTTCATAATCTCAATAAAAACTTTGCAAATATATGATTCACTTTAAATAAAACCCTATATTTTGAAGGTTTTAGGTTTGCCATAAAATTTCAGTATAATGGGAGTTGTAAGAATTTTCTTAAAATATCTGATTTTCTTCCTCTAATAAGATCTTACACAACTGACTAAAAATATGAGTATATGCAGCAGTCCCCCCTTTCCTGTCTTCTTATGACGTATTCTTTTGGACGTGCCATATTCAATTTTAATTTTCAGGAAACACTTTGGCATAATAGAAAATGAAAAATCTAAATTCAGAGTCTTGGATTCTTGGCTCAGCTCCATCTTAATTTTTTATTTGATAATTAATTATATGTATTTATAACATACAATATTGATGTTAAGATACATGTATACATTGTGGAACATTTACATCAGGTGAATTAACATATCTTTCAACTCACATATTTATCATTACTTTATGGTGAGAACACTTAAAATATACTCTTTTAGCAATTTTGAAGTATATAATACATTATTATTAACTATAATTACCCTATTGCTCAATAGATCACTAGGACTTATTTCTCCTATCTAGCTGAACCTTGTACCATTTGACAAATACATCTTCTTTTTCTGTCTATCCCGCCTCCTCCAGCCTCTGGTAACCATCATTCTACTCTTTACTTCTATGAGTCTGACATTTTTTACTTTTCACGTGTAAGTGAGATCATGATGTATTTGTCTTTCTGTACCTGACTTATTTCACTTTACATACGATCCTCTAGATTTTTCTTTGTTTTCACAAATGACAGAATTTTCTCCTTTTTAAAAGCTGAATAGTATTCCATTGTGTATATACACTATAAATATGTATATATAATTTCCTTTATCCATTCATCCCTTGATATGCACTTAGATTGTTTCCATATCTTGGCTATTGTGAATAATGCTGCAATGAACATGGAAGTGTTGATATCTAGTCAACATACTGATTTTAACTCATTTGAGTATACACCCAGAAGTAGAATTTCTGGGTCATATAGTAATTATATTTTTTTTATTTTTGAGAAACCTCCCTTCTGTTTTCCATAATGGCTGCACTAATTTACATTCCCATCAACATTTTACAAGTGTTCTCTTTTCTTCAAATCCTCACCAACACTTGTCTTTCATTTTTCTTTGTAATAGCCATTCTAAAATGAGTAAGGTGAAATCTCATTTTAATTTGCATTTCCTAATCAATGGTGATATTGAACACCTTTTAATATCTCTACTGGCCATTTGTATGTCTTCTTTGGAGAAATATCTGTCCAGGTCTTTTGCCCATTTTTTTAACAGGGTTATTTGTTTTATTGTTATTGAGTTGAATTCCTTGTATATTTTGTATATTAACTCTTTATCAGACCTATGATTTGCAAATATTTTCTCTCATTCTGTGAGTTGTCACTCTTCACTCTGTTAATTGTTTTCTTTGCTGTATAGAAGCTCTTTAGTTTGATGTAATCTCATTTGTTGTATGTGCATTTTTGGTCATATCTAAGAAATCATCGCCCAAACCAATGTCATGGATCAACTTTGTCTTTTTATTAGCTGTTTAATCTCAGCTTCAGTTTCTAATTTAAGAAATGAAAAGCCTAACTGAAATGATCTCAAATATTTCTTACAACACTGAGATTCTTTTATTCTACAAATGTACTTTTTTATTAAAGAATATCTTCTCTTTTGGTAACTTGCATGAAGTGCTTAGGTATAATTTCACTCTTTTTAGCTAAAACATCATATTGAGTTTAGGTGCCTTAGACAACCACCCAATTGTTCCATTTAGATGTTGTAGGACAGATTTCTGGCAAACTGTTTAGTATGGGGTTTGTTGTTACCCCATAAACACTCAGATCTTTAGACATTTTGATGACGGGCAAGTTTGACTCTGGGGGTATAATTGAATTTTCAGTGAGCACTGTCAAAATAAATGTCTAACCACACCCTACAATAGATTAACAGTTAAATTTTCAACAGTATCTTTTAAGCTCTTAAGTATATAAAACAGAAACGTCTTAGCCCTTTATTTAAATAGCTTTAAGATTTCAAATAGCTTGCTTTATTTAATGAAAGCTTCAACAACTTGAAATGACTCGTACTTATCCTTTACCATCTACCAAAATGTTATTTCTTCCAGTTTTAACACTCTTTGTAACCGAGATTGGAAGTTAAAGTGAGATAAAAACCAATGAGTCAAAGCAAAGCTAAGTCATTAGAATAGCTTTGTCTCCTTTCTGTCAGCTGAACATGTGAATAATCACATGGAACCTAAGAGTATATAACCTGTATCACAGTGAATAATGAATGATTAGTTCCAATTAAGAAGTTTCCTTTTTAAAAAGAACAAATTTAATGGCCCTCATGCATAAATTAAAGTTAGTTTGAAAACATGGTTTTGTTAAACAAATTTAAACTGCTTTTCATTCACTTCTGAGGAGTTCCTGATATTGACTGGCCTTCCAGCTTTTAGAGTTTGCAACTTCTTCTTGATGTACTCAGCCATGAAATCTGCAACTGATGGATTCAAGTTAGGATTTTGTTGTTGTTGTTGTGCTTGGTCTTATAATTACCTAAGATATATCTCTGGAAGTTTTCAGTATAAAATCCACAAGGTTTGAAGAACACATTCTATTTTGCCTATTATTTTAAAAATAGTTTCAATTTTTTCTCCTTATTATGACAGTTTGCTCCTTATTATGACAGTATTGTTTACGGAGCTATTTCTACTTGCTTTTGTATTACAGTTAACAATATATGATCAGATATTTATTTTCTAAATATTATCTTTACAGAACAGTGCTTTTCAGAGCAATTCCACACATGAAATCTCTGTGTGCAATTGCAAGCTTATGTACCAGATGAAGTGTTGACTCATTTTATGAATTACTTATCATTTTATGCATATGCCTGAGCATAAGCCTAATGTTAAATAGATAGCACGATTATGATTTTTTTCAGATTTTTGATATATATTATTCTTGCATATACTATGTTATGGACAGTGTACATGAACTTGAATATTTGGATGATACAATATCTTTATACATAAATGAAGAGGCCTTTCATTTTGACATATGATTCCAATAGTTAGGTACACAGGGAGATATAAAGATCTGAACAGTGGGCACAATTTTTCATAATACCTAAGAGTACCTAACAATACTTTACAGATTATTAAAAATTTTCTCATATTTGACATCACATGATTACCATGAGAGCTATGAGATGTTAAGGAAGGTATATTTATAGCTATTTATGAACATAAAGACCAAGGTTTGAAGGCATAGTGCATGCCCATCTTCACACAACTTGTAATGCTGGAGCTGCCTCTGAATTTCTCATCTCTTGTCATCTGGTGTAGTGTGGTTTGTATATAATGCAATACATTTAGATTGGTTACACTTATCTGAAAGTGCAAATCCTCTCTCATCTGTTTTTGCACATATAAGAATTACAATTCTTCCCAATCAGGTCAGATGTCATTTTTACCTTCTGGAATAGCCAATAGTGAAACATTTAGCAAGGGACACAAGTCCAGAAAAAAAAAGAAAAGTACTCAAATATTGTGTGTATATGTGTGTGCGTGTGTGTGTGTGTGTGTGTGTGTGTGTGTATATATATATAACATATATGTATAGTCCCATAGACAATCGCTTTTGGATTAACAGAAATTAACCCTTCTGGCCTTAAAGCTTGAAACTTACATTTGTTTTATCTGAGTTCCTTCCTCAGGAAAGGATCCCCAGGCCTCTCAGAACATATCAAAGAACTGAAACCAGATCATCACATCCAGATAATGAAATGCCAGGCCCTTTCTTCATCATGATTGCTTTCTTATCCCACACTGAGTTCCTTTTATTCTCATACATAGTTACACTTCTTTTCTGCTATGTAAACCCCTCAGTTTTAGTCGATCAGGGAGGTATATTTGAGACTGATCTCCCATTTCCTCGGCTGCAGCACCTGATTAAAGTCTTCTTCCTTGGCAATAGTCATTGTCTCAGTGATTGGCTTCCTGTGTGGTGAGCGGCAGGATCTAGACAGAACCCATGGTGTTTTGGTAACAGATATATACCAATTACTTATGGATATCTATAGCTTGAAGTAAATTCATATGAAAAGAGATCTAATTTTTACCTCGCCAAGGAAGAGTCTCATCTGCTTTAACACATTTTCTGTCCTACCCAATGAAGTACAGAAAATGTGTTAAAGGAGATGAGACTCTTTCTTGAGTCCTGGAACACAGATCATTTCTAATTTTTTTGCCTCTTCTCCCTGCTGTATTTTATTATCTCTCCTCTCCCCTCTTCCCCCTCCCCTTCCCTCTGCTTCCCTTCCCCTTCCCTTCCCTATCTCTTCCCTGTCTCTTCCATCCTCCCTTTCTTCCTTCCTTCCTCCAAATTTTGGAGTGTCTATATTGTTTTACAAATTATAGTCACTCGCTGTGTCTCTTCTGTGAAGTTTGTAATTGTTTTTATTCTCTTATCAGTCCAGTTTGTACTCTATGTGTAATCCATTATTACTTCTACACTCATAGACGCTCCCGTCTTTATCTACAAACCAAAGGTTTCTTTCAGATCTAGACTCAGGTTCTGTCATTTGACCAGTAGGCGCTTTTGCTTGGATATTTTTATAAATGACTCAAATTATAAAGTATAAAATAACATTAAATATTCTCTCTCTCTTTCTCTCTCTCTCTGTCTCTGTGTGTGTGTGTATTTTTTTTTATTATTATACTTTAAGTTTTAGGGTACATGTGCACAATGTGCAGGTTAGTTACATATGTATACATGTGCCATGCTGGTGCGCTGCACCCACTAACTTGTCATCTAGCATTAGGTATATCTCCCAATGCTATCCCTCCCCCCTCCCCCCACCCCACAACAGTCCCCAGAGTGTGATGTTCCCCTTCCTGTGTCCATGTGATCTCATTGTTCAATTCCCACCTATGAGTGAGAATATGCGGTGTTTGGTTTTTTGTTCTTGTGATAGTTTACTGAGAATGATGATTTCCAATTTCATCCATGTCCCTACAAAGGACATGAACTCATCAATTTTTATGGCTGCATAGTATTCCATGGTGTATATGTGCCACATTTTCTTAATCCAGTCTATCATTGTTGGACATTTGGGTTGGTTCCAAGTCTTTGCTATTGTGAATAATGCTGCAATAAACATACGTGTGCATGTGTCTTTATAGCAGCATGATTTATAGTCCTTTGGGTATATACCCAGTAATGGGATGGCTGGGTCAAATGGTATTTCTAGTTCTAGATCCCTGAGGAATCGCCACACTGACTTCCACAATGGTTGAACTAGTTTACAGTCCCACCAACAGTGTAAAACTGTTCCTATTTCTCCACATCCTCTCCAGCACCTATTGTTTCCTGACTTTTTAATGATTGCCATTCTAACTGGTGTGAGATGGTATCTCATTGTGGTTTTGATTTGCATTTCTCTGATGGCCAGTGATGATGAGCATTTTTTCATGTGTTTTTTGGCTGCATAAATGTCTTCTTTTGAGAAATGTATGTTCATATCCTTTGCCCACTTTTTGATAGGGTTGTTTGTTTTTTTCTTGTAAATTTGTTTGAGTTCATTGTAGATTCTGGATATTAGCCCTTCGTCAGATGAGTAGGTTGTGAAAATTTTCTCCCATTTTGTAGGTTGCCTGTTCACTCTGATGGTAGTTTCTTTTGCTGTGCAGAAGCTCTTTAGTTTAATTAGATCCCATTTGTCAATTTTGGCTTTTGTTGCCATTGCTTTTGGTGTTTTAGACATGAAGTCCTTGCCCATGCCTATGTCCTGAATGGTAATGCCTAGGTTTTCTTCTAGGGTTTTTATGGTTTTAGGTCTAATGTTTAAGTCTTTAATCCATCTTGAATTGATTTTTGTATAAGGTGTAAGGAAGGGATCCAGTTTCAGCTTTCTACATATGGCTAGCCAGTTTTCCCAGCACCATTTATTAAATAGGGAATCCTTTCCCCATTGCTTGTTTTTCTCAGGTTTGTCAAAGATCAGATACTTGTAGATATGCAGCATTATTTCTGAGGGCTCTGTTCTGTTCCATTGATCTAAATCTCTGTTTTGGTACCAGTACCATGCTGTTTTGGTTACTGTAGCCTTGTAGTATAGTTTGAAGTCAGGTAGTGTGATGCCTCCAGCTTTGTTCTTTTGGCTTATGGTTGACTTGGCAATGCGGGCTCTTTTTTGGTTCCATATGAACTTTAAAGTAGTTTTTTCCAATTCTGTGAAGAAAGGCATTGGTAGCTTGATGGGGATGGCATTGAATCTGTAAATTACCTTGGGCAGTATGGCCATTTTCACGATATTGATTCTTCCTACCCATGAGCATGGAATGTTCTTCCATTTGTTTGTATCCTCTTTTATTTCCTTGAGCAGTGGTTTGTAGTTCTCCTTGAAGAGGTCCTTCACATCCCTTGTAAGTTGGATTCCTAGGTATTTTATTCTCTTTGAAGCAATTGTGAATGGGAGTTCACTCATGATTTGGCTCTCTGTTTGTCTGTTGTTGGGGTATAAGAATGCTTGTGATTTTTGTACATTGATTTTGTATCCTGAGACTTTGCTGAAGTTGCTTATCAGCTTAAGGAGATTTTGGGCTGAGACAATGGGGTTTTCTAAATATACAATCATGTCATCTGCAAACAGGGACAATTTGACTTCTCTTTTCCTAATTGAATACCCTTTATTTCCTTCTCCTGCCTAATTGCCCTGGCCAGAACTTCCAACACTATGTTGAATAGGAGTGGTGAGAGAGGGCATCCCTGTCTTGTGCCAGTTTTCAAAGGGAATGCTTCCAGTTTTTGCCCATTCAGTATGATATTGGCTGTGGGTTTGTCATAGATAGCTCTTATTATTTTGAAATACGTCCCATCAATACCTAATTTATTGAGAGTTTTTAGCATGAAGCGTTGTTGAATTTTGTCAAAGGCCTTTTCTGCATCTATTGAGATAATCATGTGGTTTTTGTCTTTGGTTCTGTTTATATGCTGGATTACATTTATTGATTTGCGTATAATGAACCAGCCTTGCATCCCAGGGATGAAGCCCACTTGATCATGGTGGATAAGCTTTTTGATGTGCTGCTGGATTTGGTTTGCCAGTATTTTATTGAGGATTTTTGCATCAATGTTCATCAAGGATATTGGTCTAAAATTGTCTTTTTTGGTTGTGTCTCTGCCCGGCTTTGGTATCAGAATGATGCTGGCCTCATAAAATGAGTTAGGGAGGATTCCCTCTTTTTCTATTGATTGGAATAGTTTCAGAAGGAATGGTACCAGTTCCTCCTTGCACCTCTGGTAGAATTCGACTGTGAATCCATCTGGTCCTGGACTCTTTTTGGTTGGTAAGCTATTGATTATTGCCACAATTTCAGATCCTGTTATTGGTCTATTCAGAGATTCAACTTCTTCCTGGTTTAGTCTTGGGAGAGTGTATGTGTCGAGGAATTTATCCATTTCTTGTAGATTTTCTAGTTTATTTGCGTAGAGGTGTTTGTAGTATTCTCTGATGGTAGTTTGTATTTCTGTGGGATCGGTGGTGATATCCCCTTTATCATTTTTTATTGCGTCTATTTGATTCTTCTCTCTTGTTTTCTTTATTAGTCTTGCTAGTGGTCTATCTATTTTGTTGATCCTTTCGAAAAACCAGCTCCTGGATTCATTAATTTTTTGAAGGGTTTTTTGTGTCTCTATTTCCTTCAGTTCTGCTCTGATTTTAGTTATTTCTTGCCTTCTGCTAGCTTTTGAATGTGTTTGCTCTTGCTTTTCTAGTTCTTTTAATTGTGATGTTAGGGTGTCAATTTTGGATCTTTCCTGCTTTCTCTTGTGGGCATTTAGTGCTATAAATTTCCCTCTACACACTGCTTTGAATGCGTCCCAGAGATTCTGGTATGTTGTGTCTTTGTTCTCGTTGGTTTCAAAGAACATCTTTATTTCTGCCTTCATTTCGTTATGTACCCAGTAGTCATTCAGGAGCAGTTTGTTCAGTTTCCATGTAGTTGAGCGGTTTTGAGTGAGATTCTTAATCCTGAGTTCTAGTTTGATTGCACTGTGGTCTGAGAGATAGTTTGTTATAATTTCTGTTCTTTTACATTTGCTGAGGAGAGCTTTACTTCCAAGTATGTGGTCAATTTTGGAATAGGTGTGGTGTGGTGCTGAAAAAAATGTATATTCCGTTGATATGGGGTGGAGAGTTCTGTAGCTGTCTATTAGGTCCGCTTGGTGCAGAGCTGAGTTCAATTCCTGGGTATCCTTGTTGACTTTCTGTCTCGTTGATCTGTCTAATGTTGACAGTGGGGTGTTAAAGTCTCCCATTATTAATGTGTGGGAGTCTAAGTCTCTTTGTAGGTCACTCAGGACTTGCTTTATGAATCTGGGTGCTCCTGTATTGGGTGCATATATATTTAGGATAGTTAGCTCTTCTTGTTGAATTGATCCCTTTACCATTATGTAATGGCCTTCTTTGTCTCTTTTGATCTTTGTTGGTTTAAAGTCTGTTTTATCAGAGACTAGGATTGCAACCCCTGCCTTTTTTTGTTTTCCATTTGGTTGGTAGATCTTCCTCCATCCTTTTATTTTGAGCCTATGTGTGTCTCTGCACGTGAGATGGGTTTCCTGAATACAGCACACTGATGGGTCTTGACTCTTTATCCAATTTGCCAGTCTGTGTCTTTTAATTGGAGCATTTAGTCCATTTACATTTAAAGTTAATACTGTTATGTGTGAATTTGATCCTGTCATTATGATGTTAGCTGGTGATTTTGCTCGTTAGTTGATGCAGTTTCTTCCTAGTCTCGATGGTCTTTACATTTTGGCATGATTTTGCAGCGGCTGGTACCAGTTGTTCCTTTCCATGTTTAGCGCTTCCTTCAGGAGCTCTTTTAGGGCAGGCCTGGTGGTGACAAAATCTCTCAGCATTTGCTTGTCTGTAAAGTATTTTATTTCTCCTTCAATTATGAAGCTTAGTTTGGCTGGATATGAAATTCTGGGTTGAAAATTCTTTTCTTTAAGAATGTTGAATATTGGCCCCCACTCTCTTCTGGCTTGTAGGGTTTCTGCCGAGAGATTCACTGTTAGTCTGATGGGCTTCCCTTTGAGGGTAACCTGACCTTTCTCTCTGGCTGCCCTTAACATTTTTTCCTTCATTTCAACTTTGGTGAATCTGACAATTATGTGTCTTGGAGTTGCTCTTCTCCAGGAGTATCTTTGTGGCGTTCTCTGTATTTCCTGAATCTGAACGTTGGCCTGCCTTGCTAGATTGGGGAAGTTCTCCTGGATAATATCCTGCAGAGTGTTTTCCAACTTGGTTCCATTCTCCCCATCACTTTCAGGTACACCAATCAGACGTAGATTTGGTCATCTCACATAGTCCCATATTTCTTGGAGGCTTTGCTCGTTTCTGTTTCTTTTTATTCTTTTTTCTCTAAACTTCCCTTCTCGCTTCATTTCATTCATTTCATCTTCCATTGCTGATACCCTTTCTTCCAGTTGATTGCTTCGGCTCCTGAGGCTTCTGCATTCTTCACGTAGTTCTCGAGCCTTGGTTTTCAGCTCCATCAGCTCCTTTAAGCACTTCTCTGTATTGGTTATTCTAGTTATACATTCTTCTAAATTTTTTTCAAAGTTCTCAACTTCTTTGCCTTTCGTTTGAATTTCCTCCCGTAGCTCAGAGTAATTTGATCGTCTGAAGCCTTCTTCTCTCAGCTCATCAAAGTCATTCTCCATCCAGCTTTGTTCCGTTGCTGGTGAGGAACTGTGTTCCTTTGGAGGTGGAGAGGCACTCTGCTTTTTAGAGTTTCCAGTATTTCTGTTCTGTTTTTTCCCCATCTTTGTGGTTTTATCCACTTTTGGTCTTTGATGATGGTGATGTACAGATGGGTTTTTGGTGTGGGTGTCCTTTCTGTTTGTTAGTTTTCCTTCTAACAGACAGGACCCTCAGCTGCAGGTCTGTTGGAGTACCCTGCTGTGTGAGGTGTCAGTGTGCCCCTGCTGGGGGGTGCCTCCCAGTTAGGCTGCTCGGGGGTCAGCGGTCAGGGACCCACTTGAGGAGGCAGTCTGCCTGTTCTCAGATCTCCAGCTGCGTGCTGGGAGAACCACTGCTCTCTTCAAAGCTGTCAGACAGGGACATTTAAGTCTGCAGAGGTTACTGCTGTCTTTTTGTTTGTCTGTGCCCTGCCCCCAGAGGTGGAGCCTACAGAGGCAGGCAGGCCTCCTTGAGCTGTGGTGGGCTCCACCCAGTTCGAGCTTCCCAGCCGCTTTTTTTACCTAAGCAAGCCTGGGCAATTGTGGGCGCCCCTCCCCCAGCCTCGCTGCCGCCTTGCAGTTTGATGTCAGACTGCTGTGCTAGCAATCAGCGATACTCCGTGGGCGTAGGACCCTCCGAGCCAGGTGCGGGGTATAATCTCGTGGTGTGCTGTTTTTTACGCCGGTTGGAAAAGCGCAGTATTCGGGTGGGAGTGACCTGATTTTCCAGGTGCTGTCTGTCACCCCTTTCCTTGACTAGGAAAGGGAACTCCCTGACCCCTTGCGCCTCCCGAGTGAGGCAACGCCTCGCCCTGCTTTGGCTGGTGCACGGCGCGTGCACCCACTGACCTGCGCCGTGTCTGGCACTCCCTAGTGAGATGAACCTGGTACCTCAGATGGAAATGCAGAAATCACCCGTCTTCTGCGTCGCTCACGCTGGGAGCTGTAGACTGGAGCTGTTCCTATTTGGCCATCTTGGCTCCTCCCCCCGTGTGTGTGTATTTTATAACTTAATTATTCAGTTTGTCATCTGCCTTTCATTCAAGGAAACTCAGAGTTATTTTCTTCTACCTCTCTTATTCTTGTATCTAGTCAGTATATGAATTTTTCAATACTATCTGAAGATTTTTCTTACATGAAATTCTTTTTTGTTCCTGCTACCTTAATTCAACCTTAATAATTTCTCTGGTATGTTTAACAGCTTTCTATTTTTTTACTCAATTTTATTCTTTATATCATTGTCATAATATATCTGTAATTTCTCTATCACCTCTATCTTGCAACCATTATTTCAATCCACCTAATTAACATCACTTACTTGTACTTGCTTATAACATATTGTGTAAAAATCCTAGTCTTGTATATAATTCTGCATGATCTAGTTTAAATCTACTTCTCCTGGCTCCTGTCTTTTACGTTATTCCTGTCTACCTCTCTCCTTCAACAACTAGTGACTTTCCACCAAATTCACACATTTCAATGTGACTTTGATTACCTCGTTTTTATCACATCCTCCTCTAATTATCTTACCATACTTTCTTCCTGTAAGATTCAGTTCAAATGCCAACTCTTACTGAAAACTTTTCCTAACTTCTTAGGATAGAATTCAATATATAAGTGTATGTGTTTCCACATCATTCCATTCACAACTCTCTCACAGCACTTCTGCATTTTATTGTAATTCTCTTTGCCAAATTGATCTCGTAATATATGGAGAGCTCTCTGGAAGGAGGAACTGTGTGTAATTCCTCTGTGAGGTTCTTGTACATGGAGCATTGTAAAAGCTCCTAGATCATTTATTGAATGTGGTTTAGTGAAGAAACAGGAGGGCATGGAAAAGGCAAAAAAAGCTAACTTTTCTCTTTTGCTACCCACAGACCTCAAGTGAGGTGGGAAACTACCATAAATATGGCTGAAAATATCTGTACCACAACTCCCAGACAGTCTGTAGGATGGAGCCAAAAATAAATAAATAAATAAATAAATTAATTTAAAAAATTTTAAAAAAGGAGAAGGGCAATGCAGCTTAGTGGAAAGCATAAGAACCTGAAATTTATAAGACCTGGGCACCGGTTCTACAATAGCACTCAGTAACCAATAGCATATTGTGTAAAAATCCTAGTCTTGTAAGGGCACTTTGTGAAGTGGGCCCGGTTTCTCATATCCTTTCATACTGGGAAAAATGCTAAATAGATAGAAACCAACCTGGATTGCTCTGGTCTGAACTCAGATCACGAAGGACTTTAATCATTGAACAAATGATCCCTTAATAGCGGCTACACCATTTAGGATGTCCCGATCCAACATCAAGGTCGTAAACCCTGTTGTTGATATGGATGCTAGAATAGGATTGCACTCTTAACCCTAGGGTCACTTATCCTGTTGATAGAATTATTGGGTCAATGTGTAATAACTGACTTACACTAGTGCGGTCTTAGTTTAAGTCGTTTCGGAGGTTGAATTATGCTCCAAGGTCACCCCAACCAATTTTTTTTTTTTTTAAGACAGAGTCTCACTCTGTCTCTCAGGCTGGAGTGCAGTGGCACCATCTCCGCTCACTGCAAGCTCTGCTTCCCAGGTTCATGCCATTCTCCTGCCTCATCCTCCTGGGTAGCTGGGACTACAGGCATGTGCCACCACACCCGGCTAATTTTTTGTATTTTTAGTAGATACAGGGTTTTACTATGTTAGCCAGGATGGTCTCGATCTCCTGACCTCGTGATCCACCCACCTCGGCCTCCCAAAGTGCTGGGATTACAGGCGTGAGCCACTGTGCCCGGCCACCCCAACCAAAATTTTTAATGCAGGGATGATACATTGGGGCCTGTTGGCTTGTTTGAATCTATTTGCATTAATGAATTCAAGCTCCACAGGGTCTTCTCCTATTTATTTATACCCGCCTCTTCATAGGTAGGTCAATTTCACTGGTTGAAAGTAAGAGACAGCTAAACCCTGGTGTGGCCATTCATACAAGTCCCTACTTAGGGAACAAGTGATTATGCTACCTTTGCAAGTTCAGGATACCGCAACCCTTAAACATATGTCACTGAGCAGGCAGTGCCTCTAATACTAGCAATGCTAGGGGTGATGTTTTTGGTAGAGAGATGGGGTGAAATGTGCCGAGTTCCTTTTACTTTTTGTAATCTTTCCTTAGAGCATGACTGTATTGGGTTAAAATAAAGATAATAAGATGTCTATTAATCATTTGTTAATATTAGGTTGTTAACTGTCAGTGGATTATTCTGGTCTGATGTAAGCTTATGCAATGGATAATGTCTTAATGTTACTTACACTAACATTATTGCTTCTACTGAATAATAGATTAGTCCAATGTAATATTAGGAGTTTAACAGGGTGATTAGAAATGAAGTTAGTCAGATGTTGAGCTTAAACGCTTTCTTAATTGGTGGCTGCTTTTAGGCCAATTATGGTGGTAAAATCTTTTACTCTCTATAGGACGGTTATTTTCTAGTATCTGAAGATCCGTCCCCCTTTAACAGTTAAACTTACAGGAGGATTAAGTAATTCTGTAGGTTAAGTTTAAAGTTGAACTAAAATTCTACCTTGGACAATCAGCTATCACCAGCCTCCGTAGGCTTGTCACTGCTACTAATGAATCTTCTCACTATTTTGCCACATAAATGAGTGTACTCTTCTAGCTGTTCTGGAGAAGCTCCTCTGATTTTGGGGGACTTGGCTAGAGCTCTCTTTGTGAAGTTTATTCTAGTTAATTCATTATTCAAAAGATGCAAGGATTTGTCTTTGCTTTTTGGTGCTTGATATAGTTCTTTCATTGTTCCCTTACGGTACTATATCTATTGCACCAGAATAAGTAATTTCTATCTCCTATACTTTTGTCGAGGGTAAATGGTTTGATTTAAGTAGTTCTAATAATATTTTTTAGCAAGGCTTGGAGCTGGAGCTGGCTCAAAGCGATCAGGTTGTAATGAAATCTTCCGGGTGTAAGCCGAGTGCTTTGGGTTAAGCTACACTTTGGTTTATCCAGGTGCACTTTCCAGTACACTTACCGTGTTACGATTTATCTCCTCTGTATGTGTGTAAGCAATTATTAATAATAGTGATTTCTAGAGCACTACTTGAAGAGGGTGACGGGCTTGTGTGCTTGCCTTATGGCCTTATTCAATCAAGCACTCTGTTCTTGATTTACTACTAAATCCTCTTCGAACATTTAGATTTCATGAAGGTTATTGTGAGATATTTCTGGATGTAGAAAATGTAGCCCATTTCTTACCATCCCATGGACTACACCTTGACCTAGTGCATACTTGTGTTTACTATATATATATATATATATATATATATATATATATATATATATATATATATATATTAGGGTTTGCTGAAGCTGGTGTTATATAGGCTGAGTGACAAGAGATGGTGAGGTATATCGGGGTTTATCAATTATAGAACCGGCTCCTCTAGAAGGCTATAAAGCACCGCCAAGTCCTTTGAGTTTTAAGCTGCTGCATGTAGTACTCTGGCGAACAGTCTTGTTAATATAACTATTTGTGTAAGCATAGTGGGGTTTCTAATCCCAGTTTGTGCCTTAGCTGTTGTGTCCTCAGGACATTAAAGTCCCTTTCGTAGTATATTTTATTTCAGCTGGAGATTTTTACGATTTAGATAGAGCTTAACTTTGTTGACTGAAGACCTTAAACACTCTTTATGCCGAGTTTTATTAGCTTGGGTTAATCGTATGGCCGCGGTGGCTGGCACAAAATTTACCAACCCTAAATATTGTATAGGTTAGTCATACTTTCACTTATGAATTAAAATTTATCACTGCTGTTTCCCGTAGGGGTGTGGTCGAGCAAAGTGTTTTGAGCTGCGTTTATGCGTGCTTGATACCTCCTTCTTTTGAACCAGGTGATCTGGAGGGCATTCTCACTGGGGCGGGGATGCTTGTATGTGTAATTTTACTGAGAATTCATAAAAAGGCCAGGACCAAACTTCTATGTTTATGGGGTTTTGCGGACCCATCTAGGCATTTTCAGTGCCTTGCTTTAAATAATTAAGCTACATTAACTGGATGAAAAACATTTGAGTGGTATTTTGAAATACTAGGGGGATGTCAGGGTAGAATCTTGTTGGGTATAAATCTGAAGTGGTCATTTGCAGTCCTGGAAGTTTAGGGCCTTTAAAAAAGTTGAATTAGCAGAGGTTTTGGCTAAGGTGACATTTGTAGTTGAAGTTATATTTGATT